>NC_000010.11:12282727-12434242 GCF_000001405.40 Homo sapiens
GCTCCCACTTACGAGTGAGAACATACGATGTTTGGTTTTCCATTTCTGAGTTACTTCGCTTAGAATAATAGTCTCCAATCTCATCCAGGTCACTGCAAATGCCATTGATTCATTCCTTTTTATGGCTGAGTAGTATTCCATCATATATATATATGGATATGTACACCATAGTTTCTTTATCCACTCGTTGATTGATGGACATTTGGATTGGTTCCACTTTTTTTTTTTTTTTGAGACGGAGTCCTCACTCTGTAACCCAGGCTGGAGTACAGTGGCACAGTCTCAGCTCACTGCAACTTCTGCCTCCCGGGTTCAAGTGATTCTCATACCTTAGCCTCCCGGGTAGCTGGAATTACAGGCACACACCACCGCGCCCAGCTAATTTTTGTATTTTTAGTAGAGATGAGATTTCAAAATGTTGCTGAGGCTGCTCTCGAACTCCTGACCTCGAGTGATCTGCCCTCCTTGGCCTCCCAAAGTGTTGGGATTACAGATGTAAGCTACCGTGCTCGGCCTAGTTCCAGATTTTTAAAATTGTGAATTGTGCTGCTATAAACATGCATGTGCAAGTATGTTTTTCGTATAATGACTTCTTTTCTTCTGGGTAGGTACCCAGTAGTGGGATTGCTGGATCAAATGGTAGATCTACTTTTAGTTCCTTAAGGAATCTCCAACAGTGTTTTCCATAGTGGTTGCACTAGTTTACGTTCCCACCGGCAGTGTAGAAGTGCTCCCTGTTCACTGCTTCCACGCCGACATCTATTATTTTTTGATTATGGCCATTCTTGCAGAAGTCAGGTGGTATCACATTGTGATTTTGATTTGCATTTCCCTGATTATTAGTAATGTTGGGCATTTTTTCTTTCTTTCTTTCTTTTTGGGGGGTATTATTGTGAGCGTTTTTTTTTTTAATACTTTAAGTTTTAGGGTACATGTGCACAACGTGCAGGTTAGTTACATATGTATACATGTGCCATGTTGGTGTGCTGAACCCAGTAACTCATCATTTAACATTAGGTATATCTCCAAATGCTATCTCTCCCCCTCCCCCCACCCCACAACAGGCCCCGGTGTGTGATGTTCCCCTTCCTGTGTCCATGTGTTCTCATTGTTCAATTCCCACCTATGAGTGAGAACATGTGGTGTTTGGTTTTTTGTCCCTGCGATAGTTTTCTGAGAATGATGGTTTCCAGCTTCATCCATGTCCCTGCAAAGGACACGAACTCATCATTTTTTATGGCTGCATAGTATTCCATAGTGTATATGTGCCACATTTTCTTATTCCAGTCTATCATTGTTGGACATTTGGGTTGGTTCCAAGTCTTTGCTATTGTGAATAGTGCTGCTATAAACATACGTGTGCATGTGTCTTTATAGGAGCATGATTTATAATCCTTTAGGTATATACCCAGTAATGGGATTGCTGGGTCAAATGGTATTTCTAGTTCTAGATCCCTGAGGAATCGCCACATTGACTTCCACAATGGCTGAACTAGTTTGCAGTCCCACCAACAGTGTAAAAGTGTTCCTATTTCTCCACATCCTCTCCAGCACCTGTGGTTTCCTGACTTTTTAATGATCTCCATTCTAACTGGTGTGAGATGGTATCTCATTGTGGTTTTGATTTGCATTTCTCTGATGGCCAGTGATGATGAGCATTTTTTCATGTGTCTTTTGGCTGCATAAATGTCTTCTTTTGAGAAGTGTCTGTTCATATCCTTTGCCCACTTGTTGATGGGGTTGTTTTTTTCTTGTTCATTTGTTGGAGTTCCTTGTAGATTCTGGATATTAGCCCTTTGTCAGATGAGTAGATTGCAAAAATTTTCTCCCATTCTGTGGGTTGCCTGATCACTCTGATGGTAGTTTCTTTTGCTGTGCAGAAGCTCTTTAGTTTAATTAGATCCCATTTGTCAATTTTGGCTTTTGTTGCCATTGCTTTTGGTGTTTTAGACATGAAGTCCTTGCCCATGCCTATGTCCTGAATGGTACTGCCTAGGTTTTCTTCTAGGGTTTTTATGGTTTTAGGTCTAACATTTAAGTCTCTAATCCATCTTGAATTAATTTTTGTATAAGGTGTAAGGAAGGGATCCAGTTTCAGCTTTCTACATATGGCTAGCCAGTTTTCCCAGCTCCATTTATTAAATAGGGAATCCTTTCCCCATTGCTTGTTTTTGTCAGGTTTGTCAAAGATCAGATGATTGTAGATATGCAGCATTATTTCTGAGGGCCCTGTTCTGTTCCATTGGTCTATATCTCTGTTTTGGTACCAGTACCATGCTCTTTTGGTTACTGTAGCCTTGTAGTATAGTTTGAAGTCAGGTAGTGTGATGCCTCCAGCTTTGTTCTTTTGGCTTAGGATTGACTTGGCAATGCGGGCTCTTTTTTGTTTCCATATGAACTTTAAAGCAGTTTTTTCCAATTCTGTGAAGAAAGTCATTGGTAGCTTGATGGGGATGGCATTGAATCTATAAATTACCTTGGGCAGTATGGCCATTTTCACGATATTGATTCTTCGTACCCATGAGCATGGAATGTTCTTCCATTTGTTTGTATCCTCTTTTATTGCATTGAGCAGTGGTTTGTAGTTCTCCTTGAAGAGGTCCTTCACATCCCTTGTAAGTTGGATTCCTAGGTATTTTATTCTCTTTGAAGCAATTGTGAATGGGAGTTGACTCATGATTTGGCTCTCTGTTTGTCTGTTATTGGTGTATAAGAATGCTTGTGATTTTTGCACACTGATTTTGTATCCTGAGACTTTGCTGAAGTTGCCTATCAGCTTAAGGAGATTTTGGGCTGAGGCGATGGGGTTTTCTAGATATATAATCATGTCATCTGCAAACAGGGACAACTTGACTTTCTCTTTTCCTAATTGAATACCCTTTATTTCCTTCTCCTGCCTGATTGCCCTGGCCAGAACTTCCAACACTACGTTGACTAGGGGTGGTGAGATACTTCTTTTTTTTCTTTTTTTTTGAGATGGAGTCTCGCTCTGTCGCCCAGGCTGGAGTGCAGTGGCGTGATCTTGGCTCACTGCAAGCTCCACCTCCGGGGTTCACAACATTCTCCTGCCTGAGCCTTCCGAGTAGGTGGGACTGCAGGCACCCGCCACCACGCGCAGCTAATTTTTTTGTATTTTTAGTAGAGATGGGGTTTCACTGTGTTAGCCAGGATGGTCTCGATCTCCTGACCTCGTGATCCGCCTGCCTCGGCCTCCCAAAGTCTCCCAAAGTGCTGGGATTACAGGTGTGAGCCACCGCACCCGGACAATGTTGGGAATTTTTTCATATTTCTTGGCCATTTATATATCTTCTTTTGAGAATTATCTATTCATGTCCTTAGCCCATTTTTTGATGGGATTTTTTTTTCTTGCTAGTTTGTTTGTGTTCATTGTAGATTCTGGATATTAGTCCTTTGTCAGATGTATACTATTTGTATCTTTTTTTTTTGGACAGAGTCTCACTCTGCTGCCCAGGCTGGAGTGCAGTGGTGTGATCTTGGCTCACTGCAACCTCCGCCTCCTGGGTTCAAGCAATTCTCCTACCTCAGCCTCCTGAGTAGCTGGGACTACAGGTGCATACCACCACACCTGGCTAATTTTCTGTATTTTTTTTTTTTTTTTTGATAGAGACGGGGTTTCACCATGTTAGCCAGGGTGGGCTTGATCTCCTGACCTCGTGATCCACCCACCTCGGCCTCCCAAAGTGCTGGGATTACAGGCGTGAGCCACTGCACTCAGCCCTCTTTTTTATTATTAAAATTTTTTTTGGCTAGGCATGGTGGCTCACACCTGTAATCCTAGTACTTTGGGAGGTCGAGGCGGGTGGATCACCTGAGGTCAGGAGTCTAAGACTAGCCTGGCCAACACGGTGAAACGCTGTCTCTACTAAAAATACCAAAATTAGCTGGGCGTGGTGGTACACACCTGTAATTCCACCTACTCAGGAGGCAGAGGCACAAGAAATGCTTGAACCCAGGGGGTGGAGGTTGCCATGACCCAAGATCTCACCACTGCGCTCCAGCCTGGGTGACGGAGCAAGATTCTGTCTCAAAAAAAAAAAATAATAATAATAATAATTTTTTTGTAGAGGTGGGGTCTTGCTTTGTTGCCCAGCCTGGTGTTGAACTGTTGGGCTCAAGTGATCCTCCGGTCTCAGCCTCCCAAAGTGGTGGGATTACAGGAATAAGCCACCATGCCTGACCATAGGTGGCATTTCTTTGGAGATATTTAGGCTGTTCTGAGAAGACAGTTGAGGCAAGAGCCATGTGGCCCAGGGGTCAGGGTGACTTTCTTTAGCCTTTTTCCCTCCAAACCAAGTAGCTCCTTTGTCCTCTCTGGTCAGAAGCACCTCAGGAGGGCTGTCTTACAACCAGTGGCTCCTGTGTGGATGAAGGCTCGGTATTTGGAGTTCCCAGGTAGGAGTTCAGGTTTGTCCCCTTTGTCTCTCATGAAGCCCCTGCCTGAATTCCTACTGGGCTGTGAGGGGTCACCCAACCTACAGGTGGGGCCTGGTAGGTGGTCCTGGGAGCAGTGTGGAAGGCTTGGGTGATGTGGCCTGGAGCACATGCACATATTATGTTTGGGACTACACCAGGTCCTATGGTCTTGTTTCCAAACACAGAGAAAATGAAGGTATTTTTCTAGCTGGAGGGACGATGGAGGATTTTTCCATCCAAAGCCAAATTCAGTGGAGCAATTGCAAACCTATGTGAATTAAGAAAAACAAAAGCAAGGGCTGGGTGTGGTGGCTCACGCCTATAATCCCAGCACATTGGGAGGCCGAGGCAAGCGGATCACCTGAGGTCGGGAGTTCAAGACCAGCCTGACCAATATGGAGAAATGCCATTTCTATTAAAAATACAAAAAAAAAAAAAAAAAAAAAAAAATTAGCCGGGCATGGTGGTGAATGCCTGTAATCCCAGCTACTTGGGAGGCTGAGGCAGGAGAATCGCTTGAACCTGGGAGGCGGAGGTTGCGGTGAGCTGAGATCGCACCATTGCACTCCAGCCTGGGCAACAAGAGTGAAACTCTGTCTCAAAAAAAAAAAAAAGAAAAACAAAAGCAGGAAAACTGGTTAATGGTTGGAGTAAGAAAGAGTCTTTGTTTTAGACAGTTGAAAACCACAAGAGGTAAAGCAGGGAACGCAGGCTCGCCCAGAACAGGGAGGACATGCGCTCACGTGTTTATTGGTTTCCTAGGAATTACCATCCTTAAAATCTTGTTGAGGAATTGTGCTACCGTGTAGAACGTTGCCTTCGTCACGTCCCTCTGTTGCTCAAGACCTCACTCCCACCTGCCATGCGAAGGCTGCCTTTTGCTACAGCCTGAGGCCTGGGCTCTTTCCCAGGCTTTTCACCACCTTTCTTAATTTGGTGCAATTCCATCTTTCTAACCTCCTCTTTGAATTCCTACTGAAAAGAACCTAAGTAGGCCAGGAGCGGTGGCTCACGCCTGTAATCCCAGCACTTTGGGAGGCTGAGGTGGGCGGATCACGAGGTCAGATCAAGACCATCCTGGCTAACATGGTGAAACCCTGTCTCTACTAAAAATACAAAAAATTAGCTGGGCATGGTGGTGGGCGCCTGTAGTCCCAGCTACTCAGGAGGTTGAGGCAGGAGAATGGCGTGAACCCGGGAGGCGGAGCTTGCAGTGAGCCAAGATCACGTCACTGCACTCTGCCTGGGTGACAGAGCGAGACTCTGTCTACAAAAAAAAAAGAACCTAAGCCTCCTCCAAGGCAGCATCCTCACCTCTCTACACACCCCATGTCTCTGCTTGGCCCGTTTGCCAACTTAAAGGGCCTTTCTCTTCCCCAAGAGAAACTTCCCATCTATCATGACCCAGCACCCCTTCTTGATCGTGTCAGTCCACACTAGACCCGATTTACCTAACTCACCAGCATTTCCAGGCCCTACGACCAACTCAGTGCCTGAATATGCATTGTCTTGCATTTTTCATTCATCGGTTCTCTGTTTCGCAGGTTAATTCGATAGTAGTAGGAAGCTTGAGATCAACTTCCTTGGGATTCTCCATAAAAGCCCACACAGAGGCCGGGTGTGGTGGCTCACGCCTGTAATCCCAGCACTTTGGGAGGCCGAGGCGGGCGGATCATGAGGTCAGGAGTTCAAGACCAGCCTGGCGAATATGGTGAAACCCTGTCTCTACTAAAAATACAAAAATTAGCTGGGCGTGGTGGCACGCCTACAATCCCAGCTACTCGGGAGGCTGAGGCACGGGAGGCTGAGGCACGAGAATCGCTTGAACCTGGGAGGTGGAAGTTGCAGTGAGCCAAGATCGCACCACTGCACTCAGCCTGGGCGACAGAGTGAGACTCTGTCTCAAAAAAAAAAAGCCCACACAGGGCTGGCTTCAGGGAAAATCAAAATCATGCATTCATTGCTTGGTCGAGGAGAGAGTTGGTATGTTAGGTATTGATGAGCTCAATGGAGGGGTTGGCAATGATGTTCCAAAGAACCCTAGTTGGGCATATGTTCATTGTTCTGTCTGCCATTCAGGATGACTTTTAACATCTTAGACTGTGGGCGCCCCGCCCCAGGGGCAACAGCCTTTTCATGTTAAAGGCGACTGGCCAAAGTTCAAACAGGACAGGAGAATGAAAGTGCAGTGCGTGCAGAAGGGGGAATACATTCTGTTCTTAAAATTTCAGTATTTGTCTATTTCGAGGAATATGTAAGGAAATGTGAAGGATAGGCTAATTAAAACCCACTGACTCACATCTGTAATCTCAGCACTTCGGGAGGCCAAGGCGGGCAGATCATGAGGTCAGGAGTTCGAGACCAGTCTGACCAACATGGTGAAACCCCGTCTCTACTAAAAATATAAAAATTAGCTGGGCATGGTAGCATGAGCCTGTAATCCCAGCTCCTCAGGAGGCTGAGGCAGGAGAATTGCTTGAACCTGGGAAGTGGAGGTTGCAGTGAGCTGAGATCATGCCACTGTACTCCAGCCTAGGTGACAGAGTGAGACTGTCTCAAAAAAAAAAAAAAAAAAAAAAAAAAAAAAAAAAAAGCTGTGGAGAATTTTTCAGTTTTATGAGAAGTAGCACTTGGTATTTCCCCCAATACAAAATGGCTGTAAAATTTTAAAAGGTTCTCAGTGAACATCACGTCTCTTAGACATTAATGAAGTTGGAATGAATAGATCTCACCAATGTCAAGGGGACAGGGGTAGGTGGTCAGACACAAATAGAAACCAGGCCCAGCCCAACATAAAAAAATCTGTGGGCCAGGCGCCGTGGCTCATACTTGTAATCCCAGCACTTTGGGAGGCCAAGGCAGGAGGATCACTTGAGCCCAGGAGTTCAAGACCAGCCTGGGCCGCATAGTTAGACCCCATCTCTACAAAAAAATTTAAAAATTAGCTGGATGTGATGGTGTGTGCCTGTAGTCCCAGCTACTCAGGAGGCTGAGGTGGGAGGATCGTTTGAACCCAGGAGGTTGAGACTGCAGTGAGCTCTGATCGCACCACTGTACTCCTGCCAGGACAACAGAGTGAGACCCTGTATCCAAAAAGAAAAAAATTCTGTGTATCCCAGGAATGACTACTCTTTCTCTACCACTATTTGCGCATCCACACATATCCTTAAATCACCTTTGGTCAGCAGAGACAAAAATGACAGCCACATCCATCCTCTGCGCCCACTTCCTTTTTCATTGGCGATGTTCCTTTTCAAAACTCTATGACTTTTAATACGCAAATATATGATAAATGCATAAATACTAGAAAATACAGGTAACAGAAAGCATTCACTTGAAATCACATCATCCAGACATAACTACTGTTACCATTTTGTCAATTACATTCTCGTCTCTTTTTTCATGAGTGTATATACAGAAATATGTAAATATGTAATAGCAGTATCATAATAAACATATCGTTATAAAGTTTTTCACTCATCGGCATAATTTTGATCATATTTTCTTTTTTTTTTTCTTTTTCTTTTTTTTTTTTTGATACGGAGTCTTGTTCTGTCACCCAGGCTGGAGTGCAGTGTTGTGATCTCGGCTCACTCCAACCTCTGCTTCCTGGGTTCAAAAGATTCTCTGCCTCAGCCTCCTGAGTAGCTGGGATTACAGGCATGCGCCACCATGTCCAGCTAATTTTTGTATTTTTAGTAGAGGTGGGTTTCACCATGTTGGTCAGGCTGATCTCGAACTCCTGACCTTGTGATCTGCCTGCCTCGGCCTCCCAAAGTGCTGAGATTACAGGCGTGAGCCACTGTGCCCAACTTTCTTTCTTTTTTTTTTTTTTGAGATGGAGTTTCGTTCTTGTTGCCCAGGCTGGAGTGCAATGGGGCCATCTTGGCTTACCGCAACCTCCACCTCCTGGGTTCAAGTGATTCTCCTGCCTCAGCCTCCCAAGTAGCTGGGTTTACAGGCATGCACCACCACACCTGGCTAGTTTTGTATTTTTAGTAGAGATGGGGTTTCTCCATGTTGGTGAGGCTGGTCTCGAACTTCTGACCTCAGGTGATCCGCCAGCGTCAGCCTCCCAAAGTGCTGGGATTACAGGCATGAGCCACCACGCCCAGCCCATATTTTCATATCACTAATCATCTACATCATTTTTTTTTTTTTTGAGATGGAGTCTCTCTCTGTCGCCCAGGCTGGAGTGCGGTAGCACGATCTCAGCTCACTGTAACCTCTGCCTCCCGGGTTCAAGCGATTCTCCTGCCTCAGCCTCCTGAGTAGCTGGGACTACAGGCACGTGACACCATGCCTGGCTAATTTTTGTAATTTTAGTAGAGACAAGGTTTCACCATGTTGGCCAGGATGGTCTCAATATCCTGACCTCATGGTCCGCCCGCCTCAGCCTCCCAAAGTGTTGGGATTACAGGCGTGAGCCACCATGCCTGGCCTCATCTACATCATTTTTAATGGTTAACAATAGTTCTTTTGTGTGGAGGTATCATTTTGTGTGTGTGTGTGTGTGTGTGTGTGTGTGTGTGTGTGTAGCTGTGGTTGTTGTTTTGTTCTGGTTAGAGACAGTTTTGTTCTGTTGCCCAGGCTGAAGTGCAGTGGCACTATCACAGCTCACTGAAACCTCGAACTTCTGGACTCCATTGATCCTCCCACCTCAGCCTCCCAAGTACTGGGACTATAGGTGTGTGTCTGTACACCTGGCTTTTTCTTTGTTTAAATTTTCTATAGAGATAGAGGTCTCATTCTGTTGCCCAGGTTGGTTGTGAACTCCTGGCCTCAAGTGTTCCTCCTGCCTTGGCCTCCCAAAGTGCTGGGATTGCAGGTGTGAGCCACCACGCCCAGCCTACCATAATATTTTATCCATTCCCCATTGATAGATACTTAGGATTTAAAAAATTCTGTAGACATATTTTTTACATACATCTTTGGATACTTATTTGATCCTCTTAGGATAAATGTTTAGAAGAGTTTAGAAGACTTACTGGCTTGGCAAGGTGGCCCATGTCTGTAATCCCAGCACTTTGGGAGGCCAAGGCAAGAGGATCGCATGAGGCCAGGACTTTGAAATTAGCTTGGGCAACACAGCAAGATCCCATCTCTATTTATTTAAAAAAAAAAAAAAGGAAGAGGACTCACAAAGCTCTTCTCTTTTTCTGTTTTTTTTTTTTTGTTGTTGTTGTTTTTGCGGGGGACAGAGTCTTGCTCTGTTGTCCAGGCTGAAGTGTAGTGGCGTGATCTGGGCTCACTGCAACCTCTGCCTCCCAAGTTCAAGCAATTCTCCTGCCTCAGCCTCCCGAATAGCTGGGACTACAGGTACGTGCCACCATGCCTGGCTAATTTTTTTATATCTTTAGTAGAGATGGGGTTTCACCATCTTGGCCAGGCTGGTGTCGAACTCCTGGCCTTAAGTGATCCACCCACTTTGGTCTCCCAAAATGTTATGATTACAAGCGTGAGCCACTGTGCCTGGCCCAAAGTATATGCATTGTTTCAAGACTTCTCCAAATTGCCAAATTCTTTCCTTTAGTGTCTTTTCCTCAAATACTTGCCAACAGTAGGCACTAGTCTAATCTTGCCTTTTATCTGATACGTTTTTCTGGTTTTGACATAAACTGGTGTTTTTACAGCACTGACAACTAGATCAATGTGCACAGAGTAAAGTAGAATTGGTTTTCAGTTCCAGGAGAGAATGTAGCGAGAGCTCCTTCCCCCAGGAGATGCTGGCGTAAGACAGAGAGCTGCGGTGTCTATTCGTGTTGATTTCTCCTTTTGTGCTCTAAAGACAAGCTTCTTGATCAGATAGGATCTGGGCATAATGAAGCCACCATCAGCCACATTTTATTCACATGCCGGCCTCTCAACTCTGCAGCTGTCTTATTTCTTGCTGCCCACACTTCCCGTGCTTTCTTCAGGCCCCAACAATCCTGTTCTTTATCCCTTCCTTCTTCTTCTCCAAACCTGTCCTCAGGAAAAGATCTGGTATCAGCCATTCCCACCTTGACAGAAATTGGAATCAAAGAGTGCATTCTTCTAGTTGTTTGCATTTATCTATTTATTTTTGTTTATTTGTTTGAGATGGAGTCTCACTCTGTGGCCCAGGCTAGGGTGCAGTGGTGCAGTCTTGGCTCCTGCCACCCTTACCTCCAGGTGATTCTCCTGCCTCAGCCTCCCGAGTAAATGAGATTATAGGTGTGCGCCACCATGCTTGGCTAGTTTTTTTTGTATTTTTAGTAGAGATGGGGTCTCGCCATACTGGCCAGGCTGGTCTCGAACTCCTGACCTCAAGTGACCCACCCGCCTTGGCCTCCCAAAGTGTTGCGATTACAAGCTTGAGCCACCGCGGCCGGCCAAAAGCATCGTTCTTAATGAAAAAAATATATCAACTGAAGGTTTGTTTTTTTTTTGTTTGTTTAAACAACCCCTATGTGTCAACCACATTAAGCCTGGCTTCGTAGCATTAAGATGCTCCTGACTACCTGGGGAAACTCAACTTTCCACATAGACCATTACTGAAGTGGCACTGAGCAGAAGACAGGAGGGGTGTCCACGTGGGAAGGGTGTGTGATTCTCCTTGTCAAGGGTTTCAGCATCGTTCTTCAGTATGCACCCATGGTACTGAAACCAGCCTAAGAGTCCCAGAGACAGTTGTTTCTGGATAAACATAGAAATGAATCCTTCTGCTGTTAAAGCTTGAAACTTGTATTTTTTTAAATTTGAGTTCCTTCCTCGGGAAAAGCCTTTCGGGCCTATAAAAAAGGTATCTGCCGGGCCCCTTGGTTCACACCGGTAATCCCAGCACTTTGGGAGGCTGAGGCAGGCCGATCACAAAGTCAGATCGAGAGTATCCTGGCTAACACGGTGAAACCCCGTCTCTACTAAAAATAGAAAATATTAGCCAGGCGTGGTGGCATGTGCCTGTAGTCCCAGCTACTTGGGAGGCTGAGGCAGGGGAACTGCTTGAACCTGGGAGGTGGAGGTTGCAGTGAGCCGAGATCACGCCACTGCACTCCAGCCTGGGTGACAAAGCAAGACCCTGCCTCAAAAAAAAAAAAAAAAAAAAAAAAAATAGTATCGGCTGGGTGCAGTGGCTCACGCCTGTAATCCCAGCACTTTGGGAGGCCGAGGTGGGCAGATCACGAGGTCAAGAGTTTGAGACCATCCTGGCCAACATGATGAAACCCTGTCTCTACTAAAAATACAAAAAATAGCTGGGTGTGGTGGCGGGCGCCTGTAGTCCCAGCTACTTGGGAGGCTGAGGCAGGAGAATGGCATGAACCCGGGAGGTGGAGGTTGCAGTGAGCCGAGATCCCACCACTGCACTCCAGCCTGGCGATAGAGCGAGACTCAGTCTAAAAAAAAAAGAAAAGTATCAAAGAACTGAAACTCAGGGATTCAGGGTAGCAGGTGCCTCCTTGGCACTCCCTGGTTCCTGTTTTCTTACACATTGTTACATTTCTTCCCTGCTGTAGTAAAGCCTAGTTTTAGTCAGTCAGGGAGATGGATTTGAGACTGAGCTCCCACCTCCTTGGTTGCAGCACCCAGTGAAAGCCTTCTTCCTTGGCAGTAGTTGAAATCTCAGAGAATGGCTCTCTGTGCAGCAAGGAACAGGACCTGGATGGAAATCCGGGGTTTCTCAGTAACAGCATGCTGGTCAACCAGTTCTCTATGGGAAAAGTAAGCCCACATTTGTATCATTTGCTGATATTCATGGTGTAAATACATGTGGCCGATTCAGGCTACTAATAGTATAACAACTGGCTCATGGTATTCCTGTTTACCAGCCAGTCACGATGGCTCACACCTGTAATCCCAGCACTTTGGGAGGCCGCAGCAGGAGGATCACTTGAGGTCAGGAGTTTGAGACCAGCCTGGCCAAAATGGTGAAACCCCACTAAAAATACAAAAATTAGCCAGGTGTGGTGGTGGGCGCCTGTCATCCCAGCTACTTGGGAGGCTGAGGCAGGACAATCGCTTGAACCCAGGAGGCGGAGGTTGCTATGAGCCAAGATTGTGCCGCTGCACTCCAGCCTGGGCGACAGAGCGAGACTCCATTTCAAAAAAAAAAAAAGTATCCCTGTTTACCAATCAGCTCTTTCATTGAGAAAGTGTTAGTGGTTTCTTTTACAATAGAATCTTCTTTAAAGGTGGTATTCAGGGATCACACTCAACTCATCTGTTTATCATAACAGACGTGACTAGAGGCATTGCTTCTCACGTTACATATGTGTTAGGAGCCATATGAAATAATTCTGTGATCATGGTGGCCAGCGGCTAACATGTCTTTGAAATTTAAGCCTATTTTTTTTCTGAGACAGGGTCTTGCTCTGTAGCCCAGGCTGGAATGCAGTGGCGCGATCTAGCTCACAGCAGCCTCGAACTCCTGGGCTTAAGCAATCTTCCTGCCTCAGTCTCCTGAGTAGATTGGACTCCAGACACATGCCCCACGCCTGGTTAATTTTTAAATTTTTCCTTTTTGCAGGGACAGGGTCCCCTTTGTTGCCCCGGCTCTCTAGTATACTGTATGGTGCATGATATTGGGCTGTAATTAGATGCTCGTTGAGGCAGGCTCATAATTCGTCATCAAGAAAAATTTGAATCCTGCAACTTTGGGAATGGTGGCCTTTCTTTGAAAAAGAGAGTCTGGGCCCAATGCAGTGGCTCATGCCTGTAATCCCAACATTTTGGGAGGCCGAGGTGGGCAGATCAGCTGATGTCAGGAGTTCAAGACCAGCCTGGCCAAAGTGGTGAAACCCCGTCTCTACTAAAAATGCAAAAATTAGCTGGGCATAGTGGTGCAAGCCTGTAATCTCAGCTACTTGGGAGGCTGAGGCAGGAGAATCACCTGAACCCGGAAGGCAGAGGTTGCAGTGAGCCAAGACTGCACCACTGCACTCCAGCCTGTGTGGCAGAGTGAAACTCTGTCTCAAAAAAAAAAAAGAGAGTCTGTGTGAGAACCCTTAATTTTATAACTGTCAATTCTGGTAGCTAGTGTCAGATATCTAAAGCATAGGGAACTCTTTCTAACTGGCAGTGCAGACAATAAAAAAGAAAATGCCAGCCGGGCGCGGTGGCTCCCACCTGTAGTCCCAGCACTTTGGGAGGCCAAGGCAGATGGATCACTTGAGGTCAGGAGTTCGAGACCAGCCTGGCCACCATGGTAAAACACCATCTCCACTAAAAATCTAAAACTTAGACAGGTGTGGCGGCACGTGCCTGTAATCTCAACTACTCAGGAGGCTGAGGTAGGAGAACTGCTTGAACCTGGGAGGTGGAGGTTACAGTGAGCTGGTGTTGCAGTGAGCTGGTATTGCGCCACTGCACTCCAGCCTGGGTGACAAAGGAAGACACCATCTGAAAACAACAACAACCACAACAACCACAACAACAAAGTAAATGCATGTGGGGCCATCACACTTATTCTTCTCTACATCACGATGTCTTAAAGTTTAGTGGGTATCAGAATCACCAAGTTGGGACATGGATGAAGCTGGAAACCGTCATTCTCAGCAAACTATCACAAGAACAGAAAACCAAACACCGCGTGTTCTCAGTCTTAAGTGGGAGTTGAACAATGAGAACACATGGACGCAGAGAGGAGAACATCACACACCGGGGCCTGTTGCAGGGTCGGGGGTTAGAGGAGGGATAACGTTAGGAGGAATACTTAATGTAGGTGATGGGTTGATGGGTGCAGCAAACCACCATGGCTCATGTATACCTATGTAACAAACCTGCACGTTCTGTACATGCACCCCAGAACTTAAAGTATAATTTTTAAAAAAAGGAAAAAAATCACCAAGTTTCAAAAATAGAGATTTATGTCCCCTCCTCCCAATATTCTGATTCAAAACTTCTGGGTTGGCTCTAGAATCTATATTTTATGAGTAATTCAGGTGAATCTGATGCGGAGGCTCAGGGGCGCTTGGAGAGGCTGTGGTCTAGATCTTCTGAGTCCCACCCTTGTATAAAGATTGGTCATCAGACATGAATACATTTGGACCTGTAGAATCACCCTGGCTCGGGCACGGTGGCTTACGCCTGTAATACCAGCTCTTTGGGAGGCCAAGGCGGGTGGATCACCTGAGGTCGGGAGTTCAAGACCAGCCTGGCCAACATAGTGAAACCCCATCTCTACTAAAAATACAAAATTAGCCAGGTGTGGTGGTGTGTACCTGTAATCCCAGCTACTTGGGAGCCTGAAGCAGGAGAATTGCTTGAACCTGGGAGGCGGAGGTTGTGGTGAGCTGAGATCCCGCCATTGCACTCCAGCCTGGGCAACAAGAGTGAAACTCCATCTCAAAAAAATAAAAATAAAAAATAAAATAAAAATAATCACCCTGGCTCAGCCGCAAGTCCCCTCTTGGCTTTTATCAAAGGCCAAAACAAGAAAGAGCCAGATAAGGAAATGTAGTGTTTTTACTCATTTTGATTTAATAATAAATTCCTTTTAGAATTTAATTTTATTGTGAAAAAGCTATTATCTGAAAAGAGAGTCATCACATTTTTTTTCCGTTAGTCCCTGTGATGCTCAAAATGAGCTAAATTTAGTGTTCAATAAAAATCTTGTCCCACCCCTGGTTCTTGGTATAATTATGACTGCCTTTTTCTCCATAGTTTCTGATGCCTCAGCTTTTATTTTAAAGTGCCTTAAATCCTTTTTGGAAATGCACAATGTGTAACAAAGCAAAAAATAGATAAAACACAGAGAGCTGTGTTAGATATCATTACATTAACAAGGGACTATCTCTTGGTCCGTCCAAAGTTGTGGACTAGTAGGACTCTTTAGAGCACAGTTTGACTGTACCATTTCGTCTGCCCTTTAACATCAAATTCCCCTTTCTACTACCTTCATTAGCATAGGACTGACCAGACCATCAGTAAACCATAAACAATTGTTCTTGGCTCACTGCAACCTCTGCCTCCTGGGTTCAAGTGATTCTCCTGCCTCAGCCTCCTGAGTAGCTAGGATTACAGGCACCTGCCACCACGCTTGGCTAATTTTTGTATTTTTAGTAGAGACGGGGTTTCACCATGTTGGCCAGGCGGGTCTTGAACTCCTGACCTCAAGTGATCTGCCCAACTTGGCCTCCCAAAGTGCTGGGATTACAGGTGTGAGCCACTGTGCCCTGGCCTAGTTTTTTTTTTTTTTTTTGAGATGGAGTTTCACTCTTGTTGCCCAGGCTGGCTTGCAATGGCGCGATCTCGGCTCACCACAACCTCCGTCTCCTGGGTTCAAGCAATTCTCCTGCCTCAGCCTCCTGAGTAGCTGGGATTACAGGCATGTGCCACCATGCCCAGCTAATTTTGTATTTTCACTAGAAATGGGGTTTCTCCATGTTGGTCAGGCTGGTTCCAAACTCCCGACCTCAGGTGATCCGCCTGCCTCGGCGTCCCAAAGTGTTGGGATTACAGGCGTGAGCCCCTGTGCCTGGCCTAGGTTTTGTTTTTCAACCACACTTAAAAATTTTTTTTTGTTTTAAAGGCAGGATCTTGCTCTAAAGGAGTTGAGGCTGGAATACAGTGGCAAGATCCTAGCTCACTTCAGCCTTGAACTCCTGGGCTCAAGCGATCCTCCTGCTTCAGCCTCCTGAGCAGTTGGGACCACGGGTACCTGCCACCACAACCGGCTATTTTTATTTTTTGTTGAGAAAGGATGTTGCTATGTTGCTCAGGCTGGTCTCAAACTTCTGGGCTCAAGCGATCCTTTTACGTGGGCCTCCCAAAGTGCTGGGATTACAGGCATGAACCACCATGATCAATCTTTAATCACACTTTTAAGAAAGTCTCCGAAAGGTTAGGGAGGGAAGTCGGGGGGAAGGGAAGACGTATCTCGAAAGTGAAGGCTTAAAAGTAAGTAGGGGTGGGCCGGGTATGGTGGCTCACACCTGTAATCCCAGCACTTTGGGAGGCTGAGGTGGGTGGATCACCTAAGGTCAGGAGTTTGAGACCAGCCTGGCCAACATAGCAAAACCCCGTCTCTATTAAAAATACAAAAATAAATTAGCCGGGTGTGGTGGCAGGTGCCTGTAATCCCAGCTATTCAGGAGGCTGAGGCAGGAGAATCACTTGAACCCGGGAGGCGGAGGTTGCGGTGAGCTGACATCACGCCATTGCATTCCAGCCTGGGCGACAAGAGTGAAACTCCGTCTCAAAAAAAAAAAAAAAAAAAAGTAAGCAGGGGTGATATAGTCACTTAGGTGCAGTTTATCACTCATAGGGAGAGCACACCCCTCTCTCATTTGTAATGTCTCTCTTGGTCACTTTGTTCTTTCATCATTTTGACCCGTAGAACTGTCTAGAAGATTAGATGAAACTAAGATGACCAGATTGCCCTGGTTATTTTGGCCACTCCTTTTTTGGGAGACTGAGGGCTCCTGCATTTTCTGCTGCAGTCCTCCAGGCATCTCAAATAGCTTAGAGTCCCAATTCCTCCACTGCTCCAGGCCCAAGGTTAATGGATGAGGGGAGAACTAATTCATTGATTTAGATGTTGGGTCAGAGCCAGGCTTTTGTTTGTGCTCAACTGCACTCAGGACTCAGAAGTTCTGCCAAAAAACCTGTGGCAATGCCATCCAATGTGAGACTGGGACCAGTAACTGGAAACAAAATAAGCTTTTTTTTTTTTTGAGACAGAGTCTTGTTCTGCTGCCCAAGCTGGAGTGCAGTGACGCAGTCTCGGCTCACTGCAACCTCCACCTCTCAGATTCAAGTGATTCTTGTGCTTCAGCGTCCTGAGTAACCGGGACTACAGGCGCATGCCACCACGCCCGGCTAATTTTTGTATTTTTGGTAGAGATGGGTTTCACCATGTTGGCCAGACCAGTCTTGAACTCCTGACCTCAAGTGATCCACCTGCCTCGACCTCCCAAAGTTCTGGGAGTACAGGTGTGAGCTACTACACCCAGCCAAGAAGCTTTTCTAGAACGTTTCTCAGCTCCATCCATGAACATGACAGCGGGTCTTCCCCGTTATTCAAAACTGTAAACACTGAGTGTCTGATGAAAACTGGGCCTTATGTAATTGTATGAGTCCATTTTTACACTGCTGCTAAAGACATACCCAAGACTGGGTAATTTATAAAGAAAAAGAGGTTTGGCCAGGAGTGGTGGCTTACGCCTCTAATCCCAGAACTTTGGGAGGCCAAGGTGGGCGGATCACGAGGTCGGGAGATCGAGACATGTCCTCCTGGACAACATGGTGAAACTCTGTCTCTACTAAAAATACAAAAATTAGTTGGGCGTGGTGGCGCGTGCCTGTGATCCCAGCTACTCGGCAGGCTGAGGCAGGAGAATTGCTTGAACCGGGGAGTCAGAGGTTGCAGTGAGCCAAGATCGTGCCACTCCACTCCAGCCTGGCAACGGAGTGAGACTCCGTCTCAAAAAAAAAAAAAAAAAAAAAGTCTAATGGACTCACAATTCCATGTGGCTGGGGAGGCCTCACAATCATGGCTAAGGGCAAGAAGCACGCCTTACATGGTGGCAGGCAAGCAGAGAGTGAAAGGAAAGCAAAAGGTGTTTCCCCTTATAAAATCATCACATCTCATGAGACTTACTCACTACCATGAGAACAGTATGGGAGAAACCGCCACCATGATTCAACCATCTCCCACTGGGTCCCTCCCACAACATGTGGGAATTATGGGAGCTACAATTCAAGGTGAGGTTTGGGTGGGGACATGGCCAAACCATATCAGTAATAATAATCAATATTATAATGGCTATCATTTTGTGTCATGTTTGACATTTTACAAGCCCTTCTATCTAAATCATCTCATGTGGTCCTGACAAAAATCACTGGAGTTGGTCCTAGTATCCCCTTGTGAAGTTCAGAGTAGATGAGTGTTTGCCTAAGAACTCACAGTTAGTCGTTTGTCTAAAGTTACAGAAGCAGTGACAGAGCCAGGATTTGAACACCGTGCTTTCAGCTACCCTGGAGAGGAGGTGGTGTGGTGGTTATGAATCCTGTAAGATGTAAGAACAATTTTTCAGGCTAGGCGCTATGGCTCACGCCCATAATCTCAGCAGTTTGGGAGGTCAAGGCAGGAAGATCACTTGAGGCCAGGAGTTTGAGACTAGCCTGGGCAACATAGCAAGACCCCATCTCTACCAAAAATACAAAAATTAGCTGGGTGTGGTGGTACACGCCTGTAGTCCCACCTACTTGGGAGGCTGAGGCAGATGATCTCTTGAGCTCAGGAGTTTGAGGCTGCAGTCAAACTATAATTGTGCTGCTGCACTCCAGCCTGGGCAACTGAGGAGGACCCTGTCTCTAGGAAAAAAAAAAATTGCTTATGGAACAGATCTACATATATAACTACTTGAGTTTTGATTTCTTGTTTGACCTCGCGAGTCCATTATGCTGGACTTTTCTCAGGGTTAGGGCCATGTGAACTATAAACCTAACACGGATGTGAATGTGGTCAAGACAGTAAGAACTGTGAGTATTTGTAGAATTCTCCAAGCATCCAGCCATTGTCGCAGAATCAGGGCCCAGCACAGAGAGAGTGGTCTTCTTTGGTCCCAGCCTACAAAGTGCCAGCTATCTACTGAGAGGGCCTCCCAGGTTCCACAGTGGAAGGCCAGGGATGAGGACGATGGAGACAAGCTCTGGCCAGTGAAGTGGCTTAGCTAGGGCAAGAAGCAGCTGGCTTTCCAGGCCCTTCTGTGATGGAGCTGGCTCATGTGGGTAAGAACTTCCCAAAGGCAGTTTGAACTCTTAGTCTGCTGGGCAAGGAGCAGGTTACAGGGACAAGGGCACCAGTCCTGCTGATCACCAGACTTCCAATTTCTTCCTCTTCCAGGCTGTCACCCCTCATTCCTGCCCAGTAGGAAGGAGGAAGGCAGATTTCTTCTCCAAATGCTGCTTTTGTGAGACTGACCTCTGATTGGGTGACACGTGTCATGAGTACGTACCTGTTCTCCTTTTATTTTATTATTATTATTTGCGATGGAGTCTCCCTCTGTCGCCCAGGGGCGCGATCTTGGCTCATTGCAACTTCTGCCTCCCGGGTTCAAACAATTCCCCTACCTCAGCCTCTGGAGTAGCTGGGATTACAGGCCTACACCATACCCGGCTAATTTTTGTATCTTTAGTAGAGATGGGGTTTCACCATGTTGGCCAGGCTGGTCTTGATCTCCTGACCTAAAGTGATCTGCCCTCCTCAGCCTCCCAAAGTGCTGGGATTACAGGAGTGAGCCACCGTGCCCGGCCTTGTTTTCCCTTTTTTTTTTTTCTTTCTTTTTTTGAGGTGGAGTCTCGCTCTTTCGCCCAGGCTGGAGTGCAGTGGCGCTGGCGCCATCTCGGCTCACTGCAAGCTCCATCTCCCGGGTTTAAGCGATTCTCCCGCCTCAGCCTCCTGAGTAGCTGGGACTACAGGTGCCTGCCACCACGCCTGGCTAATTTTGTTTTTGTGTTTTTAGTAGAGAAGGGGTTTCACCACGTTAACTAGGATGTTCTTGATCTTCTGACCTCGTGATCTGCCCGCTGCGGCCTCCCAAAGTGCTGGGATTACAGGCGTGAGCCATCGCGCCCGGCCCCCATTTCTAGCAGTTGAGTCATGCGCCCTCAGCGCAACATACACGAGAGCCTTCCAATCTACCACCTTCCCTCTTACCCTCATCTCACGACGTGCCCCAGTGTGTGTTATTCCTGGGTACGGTGGGTGTCTGAGGTTCTCCCCAATACCATGCTCTCTCATCTGTTCTTTTTTCCTGGTGTTTCCCCTGCCTGGAATGTTGCAATTCCAACCCTGCAGCTATAGAGTTCCAACATATCTATGAAGCCCCTTTTAGAAGATCATCACGACCAGGCTCAGCTCATGCCTGTAATCTCAGCACCTAGAAAGGCTGAGGTGGGAGGATGGCTTAAGTCCAGGAGCTTAAGACGAGCCCGGGCAACATAGCGAGACCATATGGCTACCAAAAAATGAAAATAAAAAATTAGCTGGGCATGGCCGTGTGCACCTGTGGTCACAGCTATTCAGGAGGCTGAGGTGGGAGGATCGTTTGAGCCCAGGAGGTCGAGGCTGCAGTGAGCTATGATTGTGCCGCTGCACTCCAGCCTTGGTGACAGTGAAACCGTCTCAAAAGAAGTAAAAATAAAAAATAAAGACGGTAATCACTTGCTCCCATGCATTCCCAGTGAGCTCGGGATACACACATGTTATAGAACCTATCAAAATGTCACTTTATTTTGCCATCAGCCTCCCCATTCCTAATCAGGGGCTCTGTATCTTTCAGCTTCCTAGCACGCTTCTTGCATACAGTAGATGCCTCTTATTAGCTGTAAGGAATTGATAATATGCAGCTTACAGCTTCAAATGAAAGCCCCCACAGGAGGAAGTGTAAGAGAGGCAGACTAAGGAATGCACTATGACTTAATTCCAACGTCTCCAAGCAGGACATGTCTTTCACTGCCCATGAAGAATAGTAAATAGTCAGCCGGGCGCAGTGGCTCACGCCTGTAATCCCAGCACTTCGGGAGGTCGAGGCGGGCAGATCACCTGAGGTCAGGAGTTTGAGACCAGCCTGGCCAACGTGGCGAAACCCTGTCTTTACTTAAAGTACAAGAGATTAGCCAGGTGTGTGCCTGTAGTCCCAGCTACTCAATAGGCTGAGGGTGGAGAACTGCTTGAATCCAGGAGGTGGAGGCTGCAGTGAGCCCAGATAGTGCCACTGCACTCCAGCCTGGGCAACAGAGCGACACTCCGTCTCAAAAAAAAAAAAAAAAAGTGAATAGTTTCTTTTAGAGAAGTCCTCATAAATAAAACATGCTCTAGAACGTGCCTGTGCTGACGTACTGAAGGACTGAGAGGACTACAGCTTTAGGCACCAGGAAGAATGTGCACCAGGGTGGCCCACTATCCCCACCCCAATACCTCCTTCCAGACATTTCTGTGCTCCTGAGGGAACAGTGCATATTTCCTATTCGAAAGGCCCCAATCTGTAGCATCTTAAATTTGGTCTGCATCAGACTTCCTTTTTTTTTTTTTTTTTTTGAGACGGAGTCTCGCTCTGTCGCCCAGGCTGGAGTGCAGTGGCGGGATCTCGACTCACTGCAAGCTCCGCCTCCCGGGTTCACGCCATTCTCCTGCCTCAGCCTCCCAAGTAGCTGGGACTACAGGCGCCCGCCACCACGCCCAGCTAATTTTTTGTATTTTTAGTAGAGATGGGTTTTCACCGTGTTAGCCAGGACTGTCTCGATCTCCTGACCTCGTGATCCGCCGGCCTCGGCCTCCCAAAGTGCTGGGATTACAGGCCTGAGCCACCGCGTCCGGCTCTGCATCAGACCTCCTTTAATTGGCACTTGGATTTCAGACAGGGTTTGCATTGAGTGGAAACACCAGGAGGACACTAAGAGCTTTGGAAAGGTCGACATGGAACCAGCTCTTTGCAGTATGAAGGGCTTCTGTCTAAGAAGGCTGGGGGAAGCTGGTAAGAAAGGAAACCATCTGACCGGGCACGGTGGCTCACGCCTGTAATCCCAGCACTTTGGGAGGCCAAGGCGGGCAGATCACGAGGTCAAGAGATTGAGACCATCCTGGCCAACATGGTGAAACCTCGTCTCTACTAAAAATACAAAAAGAAAAATTAGCTGGGTGTGGTGGTGGGCACCTGTAATCCCAGCTATTCGGGAGGCTGAGGCAGGAGAATTGCTTGAACCCAGGAGGCAGAGGCTGCAGTGAGCTGAGATCTCGCCACTGCACTCCAGCCCGGGTGACAGAATGAGACTGTGTCTCAAAAAAAAAAAAAAAGGAAACCATCTCACCCCTCACCTCAGTCTCATCTCAGACACCTGGGCATCTTTCAGATCCTTAGCTGACTCTCAGGAGCAGAGAAGAGAAGCTATTCCAACACTATTCTAGGCATTTCCGTGATCACCCCCAACCCCATGACAAAGAAGGCTGGCAAAACCCACCCATGGAAACAAGCCATTGGGATGACTTGTTTCCTGTGAAATCTCCAACACTCAGCATAGTGCCTACCCTGTCATAGGTGCCCAATAAATGTTAAGTAGATAAATGAATGAATGACAACCAAACAAAATAGCCAAAGGATCCATTTGGTCAAACGGCTTTAAGGATCAAATCAGTTATAATTTTAAGCCAAATAAGCCTCCTGCTTGTTTTATTATGAAGACGAATCCAAGATTTGATTAGGTCATGCGCTATTTTACTGTATTCACTGGAATAGTTTGGGTCCCAAGCACAGAATTTAGATCCTTGAGGGTGAGGATTACACCTTATTTTGCCCTCCTCTTCATCCAAATGCCATAGCTGATGATGCTATGAGGTGATTAGATAGAGAAATCTTGAGATGTCAAATATTTAAATCCAATTTTTCTTTACTAAATGATCTTTCTCCATTAATTACATTTAACTTAGAGTATTCTGCCAATAGAAATAATCCCAAGTGAACTGAGTGCATAGTTGGTGTGACCTTTTCAGCTGAAAAAAGGGGCTTCTGTTAGTACTATGCACGGAACTTTCAGAGCACTTAAGCCTGCAAAACCAATTGTAGTTTTTGTAAAATGCATCTAACAATGAGAATTTCTCATTATAAAGGAAAAAAATTGGCCAGCACGGTAGCTCACACCTGTAATCCCAGCACTTTGGGAGGCCAAGTGGGTGGATCACTGGAGGTCAGAAGTTTGGGACAGCCTGACCAACATGGTGAAACCCTGTCTCTACTAAAAATACAAAAATTAGCTGGGCATGGTGGTGCATGCCTGTAATCCCAGCTACAGGAGAGGCTGAGGCTGGAAAATCACTTGAACCTGGGAGGCAAAGGTTGCAGTGAGCTGAGATTGTGCCATTGCACTCCAGCCAGGGCGACAATAGCGAAATTCCATCTCAAAACAAAACAAAACAAAACAAAAAAAAAAAAAAAAAGAGAAAAGGGAAAAAAATAATGCAAGAAAGAGGTAGAGGTTTCCTTGTCTAGGACATAGTAATCTGCCTTGAGAAAATTCTCCAGTTTGTGAGGGTGAGTTCTGGTTGGATGCCAGGGGATTCCCCTGACAAATATTCTTATAATATTAAGTAGGAAAAAGTTCCCTGACTTGACTTTAATTTGATTCTCAAGGATTTAAAGATGTTTTTCTTTGCAACCATGGCAAAGAACAAAACTGGAAACTATGAAAAGGCAAAATGAAACAATGAGAAGGATAGTCATATATTCATAAAGACCAAAATAATATTTTTGTCAAAATTTGAGTCACTTCTGGTTGGGCGCAGTGGCTCACGCCTGTAATCCCAGCACTTTGGGAGGCTGAGGAGGGAGGATCACTTGAGGTCAGGGGTTCTAGACCAGCCTGGTCAACATGAAGAAACCCCGTCTCTACTAAAGATACAAAAATTGGCTGGGTGTGATGGCTCATGCCTGTAATCCCAGCACTTTGGGAGGCCAAGGCAGGTGGATCATGAGGTCAGGAGATCGAGACCATCCTGGCCAACATGGTGAAACCCCGTCTCTACTAAAACTACAAAATTTAGCTGGGCGTGGTGGCACGTGCCTGTAATCCCTCACCCTGTCACCAGGCTGGAGTGCAGTGGTGCAATCTTGGCTCACTGCAACGTCTGCCTCCTGGGTTCAAGTGATTCTCCTGCCTCAGCCTCCCGAGTAGCTGGGATTACAGGCACCCGCCACCACACCTGCCTAATTTTTGTATTTTTAGTAGAGATGGGGTTTCACCACGTTGGTCAGGCTGGTCTCGAACTCCTGACCTCGTGATCTACCTGCCTCAGCCTCCCAAAGTGCTGGGGTTACAGGCATGAGCCACCGCACCTGGCCCTACCAGGCTTTTTGGTTGCCTCTTAGGATAGCAATAATTGATGACTAGTCCCCTGAAAATTTCCTGTGCAATGGAAACGACTTCCTTTCTGAATTGTCTTCATCAGTAGGAGCAGACAGCAATTTTCACAAATGCTAGAAATGCCGGTGTCAGCTTCCCATCCTAGGGCACCCAGGTTAGCCCACCTATGCCCTCTTTGTAGCTTTCATTGCTTTGGGTATAGAAATGGATCCAGGAACTCATGAGATACAGTGGCAGTATGCAGAGAACGTTCTACTGAAGAAGAGGACAATCAACGCTCCTTCATAGGAGATGTTGCCTAATAGCTCTGAGAGTTGGGATTTCGGCCGGGCGTGGTGGCTCATGTGTATAATCCCAGCACTTTGGGAGGCCGAGGCAGGCGGATCACGAGGTCAGGAGATCGAGACCACCCTGGCCAACATGGTGAAACCCCATCTCTACTAAAAATACAAAAATTAGCTTCGCGTGGTAGTGCGTGCTGGTAGTCCCAGCTACTCAGGAGGCTGAGGCAGGAGAATCACTTGAACTCAGGAGGCGGAGGTTGCAGTGAGCCGAGATTGCACCACTGCACTCCAGCCTGGTGACAGGCGAGTCTCCGTCTCAAAAAACAAAAAAAAAAAAAAGAGAAGTTGGAATTTCTTGGGGAGTCAAAATGAGAAAAGGATGATCTCACAGGGCTCACATTTTCAGCCTTTCTCTCTTGTGGTGTGTGAAGGCCGTTGGTGGTGGTGTTTTCTTTTTCTTTTTTTTCCTTTTGTTGAGACAAGGTCTTGTTCTATCACCCAAGCTGGATTGCTGTGGTGTAATCATGGCTCACTGCAGCCCCAAACTCCTGGGCTCAATTGATCCTCCCATCTCAGCCTCCCTGGGAGCTGGAACCACAGGTACACACCACCACACCCAGCTAAATTTTTTGTTTGTTTGTTTTTGTTTTTGTTTTTGTTTTTGTTTTAGAGATGGGGTTTCACCATGTTGCCCAGGCTGGTCTCAAACTCCTGGACTCAAGCAATCCAGCTGCCTTGGCCTCCCAAAGGGTTGTTCTTAACATGGACGTTACTGATAAAGATTCTGCTTACAAAGGCCACTCACATTTTCCGGGCCCAGCACCTAAGGGGAGGCCATTGAAGGGATGTCATGGTGCAAATGAGTTCCTTTCCCTCTCCAGGCTCCAGTCCTCATTAACAAACTGGAAGTGACAGCAGCCACAAGAACAACTCCCTAAAAGCTTTGCTGGCAGGAGGCAAAAGGGATGACGCACCATGCCTGGAACATCCTAAGTGCTCAATAAATGGCCGCCGTGGGAGGCTGCTGCCCCAGGTCCTCCTCCTTCACCACAGGGTTCTTGTAAATTTCCTAACCGTCCTTGGAGGCCTACGTTCCCTGCTGCAGCCATCCTGAGGCTCCTACCCTGTGACCTCATGGTTTCATAACAAAGATAATGACAGCTGGACCAGGTGCAGTGGCTCACCCCTGTAATCCCAACACTTTGGGAGGTTGAGGCAGGAGGACTGTTTGATGCCAGGAGTTTGAGATCAGCCTGGGAAACATAGCAAGACCTCATCTCTACAAAAATAAAAAAATTAGCCAGGTGCAATAGCATATGCCTATAGTCCCAGCTACTTGGGAGGCTGAGACAGGAGGACCACTTGAGACCAACAGTCTGAGGCTGCAGTGATCATTCCACTGAACTCCAGTCGGGGCAACAGACCCTGTTTCTTAAAAAAAAGAGAGAGATAATAACAGCTAATTTATTGAGCACCTGCTATGTGCTGGGAAGTACCTAAACACTTTATATGCATTAACTCACTTAATCTTTGCAACAATGCCATGAGATAGGTACACTGTCATTTCCAATTCAAGGTGAGGAAACTGAGGCACAAGAAGGCTTTATTTTGCTGCCCAGTTGCTGCAACTCAGCAGGGCACTGGGCCCCGGGCTCAGGCTCAGTCCCGGGCCTTCCCCCCAGCTTCCCCTTTAACTCTGGAATCTTTGTGGGCTTGATCTGACAAAAATCCAGCAACTGTGTGGAAGATGGTTTGGAGGAAAACGTGCTTTGCGTTTCTAAAGTCAACATCTCCATGAACTTTTGGAAAAACGTTCCTTTATCCAATTGGGGCTGTTGGTATTTGAGGGGGGGTTGGGGCTCCTGAGGTGGGGCTGAGCTGTGCTACAAAGTGGTCGCCCCACCCTTACCACAGTACTGCACCCCACACCTCTGGGGACTCCTTCTGAGACAGCGGGTCTGGTAGGCTTCCAGCAGTTACTTTATGTTTTTGGATCATCTATCTGGACTGGCCCAGTTTCCAGTGGCTTCCTCTATGTAACTCTCCAGAGACAGCCGGGATGTTTCAAGTGCTGGCTCCCTTTGAAGGAGGTCTCCTTCACAGACTGGATCTTCAGGTTATCAAATACTGTTGTGTCCACAATTGGTTCCTTCCAGTGAGTTCTTGATCTCACTGACTTCAAGAATGAAGCCACGGACCCTCGCGGTGAGTGTTACAGTTCTTAAAGATGGTGTGTCCAAAGTTTCTTCCTTCTGGTGGGTTTGTGGTCTCGCTGACTTCAGGAGTGAAGCCACAGACCTTCACTGTGTGTGTTACAGCTCTTAAAGGTGGCACGTCCAGAGTTGTTTATTCCTCCTGGTGGGTTCGTGGTCTCGCTGACTTCAGGAGTGAAGCTGCACACCTTCGCAGTGAGTGTTACAGCTCATAAAGGTAGTGTGGACCCAAAGAGTGAGCAGCAGTAAGATTTATTGTGAAGAGTGAAAGAATAAAGCTTCCACAGTGTGGAAGGAGACCCGAGCGGGTTGCCCCTGCTGGCTTAGGTGGCCAGCTTTTATTCCCTTATTTGGCCCCACCCAGGTCCTGCTGACTGGTCCATTTTACAGAGTGCTGATTGGTGCGTTTACCATCCCTTAGCTAGGCACAGAGTGCTGATTGGTGCATTTACAATCCTTTAGCTAGACACAGAGTGCTGATTGGTGCGTTTTTACAGAGTGCTGATTGGTGTGTTTACAGTCCTTTAGCTAGACACAGAGCGCTGTTTGGTGCGGTTTTACAGAGTGATGATTGGTGTGTTTACAGTCCTTTAGCTAGACACAGAGTGCTGATTGGTGCATTTTTAGACTGCTGATTGGTGCATTTACAATCCTCTAGCTAGACAGAAAATTTCTCCAAGTCCCCACCCGACCCAGAAGCCCAGCTGGTTTCACCTCTCACTGTCACTATGACTTGTCATTTGCATGAAAGCATTTTCCATTTTCCATGTCCCTTCACCTCTTAGCTGTAGGGAGATGGAGGATTGATTTCATCTTTTCTGTCCCTTATTTATTTACTTATTAAATTTTTTTTTTTTGAGACGGAGTCTTGCTCTGTCACCCAGGCTGGAGTGCAATGGCACGGTCTCAGCTCACTGCAACCTCTGCCTCCCGGGTTCAAGTGATTCTCCTGCCTCAACCTCCCAAGTAGCTGAGACTACAGGTGCCTGTTACCACGCCCAGTTAATTTTTGTATTTTTTAGTAGAGGCGGGGTTTCACTATGTTGGCCAAACTTGTCTTGAACTGCTGACTTCGTGATCTGCCTACCTCAGCCTCCCAAAGTGCTGGGATTACAGGTGTGAGCCACTGTGCCCTGCAATTTTTTTTTTTTTTTTAACGGAGTCTTATTCTGTCCCCCAGGCTGGAGTGCAGTGGCATGATCTTGGCTCACTGCAACCTCTGTCTCCCAGGTTCAAGCAGTTCTCCTGTCCCGAGTAGCTGGGACCACAGGAGCACACCACCACACCCAGCTCATTTTTGTGTTTTTAGTAGAGACAGGGTTTCACCATGTTGGCCAGGCTGGTGTCAAACTCCTGGGCTCAAGTGATCCTCCCACCTTGGCCTCCCAAAGTGCTGGGATGACAGGTGTGCCTGCCTCTTATTTAATTTTGAACTTTAATTTTAATTTTTTTTTAATTTAAAATTTTTATTTTTATTTTTATTTAATTAGAGACAGGGTCTCACCAAGTTGCCCAGGCTGGGCTCAAACTCCTGGGCTTAGGTGATCCTCCCACCATGGCCTCCCAAAATGCTGAGATTACAAGCGTGAGCCACTGCACCCTGCCTAGTCCCTTATTTAGAAGTGGGGAGGTTGGTGCCTCCTTAGAAGTAATTCTTTTTTGCCACTGATGGTAACAGCTATGGTTTCTTGTTTCTGTTCTTTGTCCTTAGCAGTGTGCCCAGGTCTTTATGTCCAATCTCGCCAATTTCACAGATGAGGAAACGGAGGCTCAGAGGACTTATGTGCTAGGCGGAGCTGGGGTTGAAACCCAGTTCTGTCTAGTGCCGAAGCCTGTTTTCCTAACCACCAGACTCTCCTGCCTCCAGCTGCCTGCAGTGCTCCGTGGGGATCAAGAGGGTGCGCGTGGGGCTAGTCCAAATGGCAGGTGACTTTGAAAAATCCCTGTTTGAGGCCGGGCGCGGTGGCTCATCCCTGTAATCCCAGCACTTTGGGAGGCCAAGGCGGGCAGATCACGAGGTCAGGAGATTGAGACCATCCTGGCCAACACGGTGAAACCCTGTCTCTACTAAAAATACAAAAGTTAGCTGGGAGTGGTGGCGTGCGCCTATAGTCCCAGCTACTTAGGAGGCTGAGGCAGGAGAATCACTTGAACCGGGGAGATGGAGGTTGCAGTGAGCCGAGATCGCACCACTGCACTCCAGCCTGGGTGACAAAGCAAGACTCTGCCAAAAAAAAAAAAAAATCCCTGTTTGCCTCTGGAATCCATTATTGATGAGACTTACTTGTTCTGTTTAGGCTAATATTGATGTTAATTTGCATTTTGTGAGCTTACAGTAGCTCAAGGTATGGAAGCTGGGAGGGGGAATCAAGGAAGAAGTCAGATGGAGGTTGGAAATCAGCCTTATTGCACCAACAAAGTAGTGGCTATAGAAGTGGGTAACCGAGGCTTGGCCATGTGTGCAGGTTTTATGGTAGACGATGAAATGATGAATTTCGGTCTGTGATGCAGGTTCATTGAGTTCAGACACTTCTAATTTAAAATTCACAGCGACCAAGCAATGGCTGATTTGAAGGCTTTCTGCATTTACTTAGCAAAAAAAAAAAAAAAAAAAATTCTTTTCACTGGGTGTGGTGGCTCACGCCCATAATTCCAGCACTTTAGGAGGCCGAGGTGGTCAGATCACGAGGTCAGGAGTTCGAGATCAACTGGCCAATATGGTGAAACCCCATCTCTACTAAAAATACAAAAATTAGCTGGGCATGGCGGTGTGTGCCTGTAGTCCGTGCTACTCGGGAGGCTGAGGCAGGAGAATCACTTGAACCCAGGTGGCGGAGGTTTCAGTGAGCTAAGATTGCGCCATTGCACTCCAGCCTGGGCAACAGAGCAAGATTCCGTCTCCGCCTCCACCCCCCGCAAAAAACAAAAACAAAAACAAAAACAAAAACAAAAAAGATCATACAAATGAATACAATAAACAAAGATGTTGGAGACTTTACTGTTTTGGGGGAGTTTTCAGTGCCTTGGTAACATGCATTTCTTTCCAGACAACAATCCCTATTAAGTATGTGTCTTATTCCCAGTTTATTAATGTTGTCCCCATGGACACCTCTATGAGGCAGCTTTCTGTTAGGCCAGATTGTCATCCTCCTTTTTAAAATGCTGAGATGATGATTTTCTCCAATTATGATCAGTCTTCCTTCTGATTTAATGAGGTTTGATTTGTTTCAGAAAATTTTCATGCCTATACCTGCCACACTTTAGCAGCGGCCGACACCTGGCTTGCCACGGTGGGTGCATGTATTTATTGTGTGTATAGAGAGAAGGGAGGATGTCACTGTGAACCAAAGAAACCCCAACTAATTGCAACACAAAGAGTGTTCCCTTGCTCAGGACCCCCTTTTTTTTTCATGGCCATTTCTGGAAAAGATGAGCTGCTCCAGGCAAGATATTCTTCAGAAACATCAATTTCTGTGAAAACACAGTCCAAAGAAAATGCAGAGGAAATCAGATGGCTGTGTGCCTTCCTGGGCCAGCGCTTGTTTTTGTTTTTGTTTTTAGGTGCAGTCTCGCTCTGTCGTCAGGCTGGAGTGCAGTCTCGCATCCTCGGCTCACTGCAACCTCTGCTTCCTGGGTTCAAGTGATTCTCCTGCCTCAACCTCTCGAGTAGCTGGGATTACAGGTGCCTGCCACCACACCTGTCTAATTTTTGTATTTTTAGTAGAGACGGGGTTTCACCATGTTGGCCAGGATGGTCTCGAACTCCTGACCTCAGGTGATACACCCGCCTCGGCCTCCCAAAGTGCTGGGATTACAGGCGTGAGCCACCACGCCTGGCCACCAGCGCTTGTTTTTAATGGGGGCATCTGATACTTGTTCCCATCAACAGGCCCCTCTCTCTCCTTCATCTCATTCTTATTTACCCATCTGCAGAAAAACACACAAAGCTGTCTCTCTAGCTCCAAGAAGACTTGGACGTGATGCGGCTTGCTTGGCACATATATCTTTTTTTTTTTTTTCTTTTTTTAACATTCTTTTGAGTTGTTCAAGATAGAGAAAAGAAATTACAGGCTGGGCACAGTGGCTCATGCCTATAATCCTAGAACTTTGGGAGGCTGAGGCAGGCGGATCACCTGAGGTCAGGAGTTTGAGACCAGCCTGGCCAACATGGCAAAACCCCATCTCTACTAAAAATACAAAAATCAGCCAGACATGGTGGTGGGCACCTGTAATCCCAGCTACTCAAGAGGCTGAGGCGGGAGAATCGCTTGAACTGGGGAGGTGGAAGCTGCAGTGAGCTGAGATCATGCCATTGCACTCCAGCCTGGGTGACAAAGCGAGACTCCATCTCAAAAAAAAAAAAAAGAAAAGAAAAGAAAAAGAAATTACACACATGTTCAGGCCATGTAAAAATTTCCAAATGGCTAAGATCATGACCTGATATTGACTATTATTTAGCCTAGGGCGTGGTCTAGGCTGTCTTTGACAAGAATGAAGACATGTGAAAGACAGCCTAGACCAGTGTCATTCATTCATGCACGCATTCATTCAACAAGCCTGTGCTGATTGATGGTCATGTGCCATTCACTGATGGTGAGGTGGACCGACTTGCCTCTTCCTAAGAGGATGAACACTTCTAGTTGTTTTCTAGTGATGGCGGTGGGTTTTCTTGACGCACAGCTTGCCTAGAGATTGCTTGTGAACCAGGATACTCATTTCCCAAGGATAACTGAGTAAGGAAAGCAAGGAAGACTGTTAGAGTAGAAGGACAGTCAACCACCCAGGCCTCCTGGCCACCATGTTCTGATCAGTTAGGCTGTTGCACTCAGCTATGATGTGGCTTGTGCTGATGGCAAAGGCTCCAAGTCAAGCTGATTTGCAAAGGTTTATACTTGGATGAAGCAGACTTCCCTAAGTCCTTGACAGTTGACCCCATACTGAGGGAGCTGCATTGGTGATAGGTACCTGCCACTACAGACCCTCTTTCTGGGAACATGAGCCCCAGTAGATGACATTCAGTGTGGACTCCATCGTTGATTCATGTGTCACTCCTAAAGAATAGAGTAAGTGGGCTGGGTGCGGTGGCTCATGCCTGTAATCCTAGCACTTTGGGAGGCCGAGCAGGCGGATCATGAGGTTAGGAGTTCGAGAATAGCCTGGCCAACATAGTGAAACTCTGTCTCTGCTAAAAATGCAAAAATTAGCTGGGCATGGTGGCATGCACCTATAGTCCCAGCTACTTGGGAGGCTGAGGCAGGAGAATCGCATGAACCCAGGAGGCAGAGGTTGCAGTGAGCTGAGATTGCGCCACTGCACTCCAGCCTGGGGGCAGAGTGAGACTCCATCTCAAAAAAAAAAAAAAAAAAAAAAAAAAAAGAAATTAACACACCCTTTCTCAATTAAAAAAAAAATAAATGAAACAAGCTTATGCTCAGATTTCACTACTGTTTTGTTTTGGTTTCTTCAATTTAGTAGTGTTTCATTTTAAAAACCAGACCACGCTTTTTATTTTGTTTGTTTGTTTTTTTTGCACCCAAGAAGAGGCCCAGAATTGCAAAATCCTTTTCTTAGATTTAGTCCAGACATATGTTTCTGAGAACATTTGCTTTTACATGAGTAATAAGTGGGACAAAAGAAATGAGAGAAATGAATGATCTATATTTTTACATGGAATAATGTATAAAAGTACACGTAAGGCTGGGCGCAGTGGCTCACGCCTGTAATCCCAGCGCTTTGGGAGGCCGAGGTGGGTAGATCATGAGGTCAAGAGATCGACACCATCCTGGCCAACATAGTGAAACCCCGTCTCTACTAAAAATACACAAATTAGTCAGGCATGGTGGCATGTGCCTGTAGTCCCAGCTGCTTTGGAGGCTGAGGCAGAATTGCTTGAACCCGGAGGCAGAGGTTGCAGCGAGCCAAGATTGCACTCCAGCCTGGTGACAGAGTGAGGTTCCGTCTCAAAAAAAAAAAATATATATAGTGTATGCATGAGGCCAGGTGCTGTGGCTTATGCCTGTAATCCCAGCATTTTGGGAGGCTGAGAGGGGTGGATCACTTGAGGCTAGGAGTTTGAGACCAGCCTGGGTAACATGGGGAAACCCTATCTCTACCAAAAAAAAAAAAAAAAAAAAAAATTAGGTGCGGTGGTGCATACCTGTAATCCCAGATACTTGAGAGGCTGAGGCATGAGAATGGCTTGAACCTGGGAGGCTGAGGTTGCAGTGGGCTGAGATCACACTGCTGCATTCCAGCCTGGGCAACAGAGTGAGACTCTGTCTCAAAAAAAAAAAAAAAGGTACATGCATACATGCATGAAAGATCTTTGAAACAATGAAAAGTTCTATAGGTGTATGTAAGATTACAGTAATTGAAGCAGTGTGTTATTGGTAAAAATAGTAGAATATGGATGAATAGAACACAGAAGACCACCATAAGCAGATCCCAGAACACGTAATAAGAGTTTATGATAAAGGCGTTTTACAAACCATTGCTAAAGGGATGAATTATTTAATTAATGATGGTAAGAGAATGAAATATCTGAGAGAGGTCTCAAGTTATGTTTACCTTCACCATCAGAGATCAAACCATGTCAAAATGAATTCAAGATGGATGAAGAGTAAGATGCAGTAACAAAACCATTAAAAAAAATCCAAAAGAAGATCTAAATGATCTCAGAGTCAAACAGGACATTGTAATTTATTATTTATTTATTTATTTTTCGAGATGGTGTCTTGCTCTGTCACCCAGGCTGGAGTGCAGTGGTGTGATCTTGGCCCACTGCAACCTCCACCTCCCAGATTCAAGCGATTCTCCTGCCTCAGCCTCCCCAGTAGCTGGGATTACAGGTGTGTGCCACCACACCCGGCTAATTTTTGTATTTTTAATAGAGACGGGGTTTCGCCATGTTGGCCAGGCTGGTCTTGAACTCCTGACCTCAGGCGATCCACCCGCCTCGGCCTCCCAAAGTGCTGGGATTACAGGCATGAGCCACCACGCCCGGCCTATTTATTTATTGAGACAGAGTCTCACTCTGTTGCCCAGGCTGGAGTGCAGTGGCCCCATCTCTGCTCACTGCAATCCCCGCCTCCTGGGTTCAAGCAAATTTCATGCTAATTTTTGTATTTTTGGTAGAGACGTGTTTCGAAATGTTGGTCAGGCTGGTCTCGAACTCTTGACCTCAAGTGATCTGTCTGCTTCAGCTTCCCAAAGTGTGAGATTACAGGCATGGGCCACCATGCTCGGCCTATGTAGACAATGTCATTTTAAAAAATGGAAGTAATTAAAAAGGGAAAGACCCATAGATTACATTATATAAAATGTAAAACATTTTTTGGTCAAAATATCATAAGCAAAATTAAAACACATATTACAACAAACACCAATGAAATATATTAAGAGCTTTAAAAATATAAAACAGCTGGGCGCGGTGGCTCATGCCTGTAATCCCAGCACTTTGGGAGGCTGAGGCGGGCGGATCACGAGGTCAGGAGATCGAGACCATCCTGGCTAACATGGTGAAACCCCGTCTCTACTAAAAGTACAAAAAATTAGCCGGGCGTGGTGGCGGGCGCCTGTAGTCCCAACTACTCAGGAGGCTGAGGCAGAAGAATGGCGTGAACCCGGGAGGTGGAGCTTGCAGCAAGCTGAGATCGCGCCACTGCACTCCAGCCTGGGGGACAGAGTGAGACTCCGTCTCAAAAAAAAAACAAAAACAAAAACAAACAAACAAACAACAACAACAAAATATATATATATATATATATATATATATATATATATATATATATATATATATGAAACAGGCCAGTGCAGTGGCTCACATTTGTAATCCCAGTGCTTTGGGAGGCCCAGGTAGGAGGATTGCTTGAGCCCAGAAGTTTGAGAACAGCCTGGGAAACATAGCAGCATCCTGTCTCTACAAAAAATGAAAAAATCATCAGATGTAGTGACACATGCTTCTAGCCCTAACTACTTGTGGGAGAATCACTTGAGCCCACTTGAGCCCAGGAGTTCCAGGATGCTATGAGTTATGATTGCACCCATGTACTCCAGCCTGGGAAACAGGGTAAAACCTTGTCTCTAAAAAAAAAAAAAAAAAAAAAAATTATATATACATATATATGTAATGAATGCTTGCACCAAGAGAAAAGTAAGCAAAAAGTAGGCAAAAATATAGATAATTCATTAGAAATACACATTAATGGAAAATATATTTTAAAGAATTCACACATACAAGGAACAAAATGATTATTTAAATGCAATTCTGTGATTCTAGTTTTCCCTCATCAAATTAGTAAAGATAAGAAGAATATTTAACTCTAGGTTACATTTGCAGGAAAACAAGCCCTTTTATGTACATTTGATGAAGGTGTAAATTGCTAAAATATTTTTCAAAATCAATTTGTCAATATATATCAACAGTCCTAAAAATATTTATGCCCTTTGCTCCAGTAATTTCATATCACACAGTCATCAGAGAGATGCAGACCAATATTTATATCCTGGGATTTTATTGCAGCATCATTTGTAATAATGAACAATTGGAAGCAACTCAAATATTCAACAGAGAACAATTATAAACAACATTATGATATATCAAGAAAATGGAAGATTATATGGCTGGTAAACATCTTGTGCTATGGTTTGGATGTGGTTTGTCCCTGCCAGACTCATGTTGAAATTTGATACCCAATGTAGCTGTTTTGGGAGGTAGGGCCTAGTAGGAGGTGTTTGGGAGGGGGACAGTTCCCTCATTAATAGATTAGCTCTCTTCTGCGGCTGGGCGCGGTGGCTCACTCTTGTAATCCCAGCACTTTGGGAGGCTGAGGCGGGCGGATCATGAGGTCAGGAGATCGAGACCATCCTGGCTAACATGGTGAAACCCCGTCTCTACTAAAAATACAAAAAATTAGCCAGGCGTGGTGGTGGGCGCCTGTAGTCCCAGCTACTCGGGAGGCTGAGGCAGGAGAATGGTGTGAACCCGGGAGGCGGAGCTTGCAGTGAGCTCAGATGGCGCCATTGCACTCCAGCCTGGGCGACAGAGCAAGACTTCATCTCAATAAATAAACAAACAAACATTACATTAGTGCTTTTCTGCAAGGGTAAATGAGTTCTCCCTCTGGCAGGAATAGATTAGTTCCTCTGGCAGGAATAGATTAGTTCCTTCCAGAGCAGACAGAGATTGTTAAAAAGAAAAAAAAAAAGTCTGGCTGGACACAGGGCTCACACCTGCAATCCCAGCACTTTGGAGGCTGAGGCAAGAGGATGGCTTGAGCCCAGGAGTTTGAGACCAGCTTGAGCAACATAGCAAGACCTCATCTCTACAAAAATAAAAATTAAAAAATTAGTCAGGCATGGTGGCATGGGCCTGTAGCTCCAGCTACTCAGGAGGCTAAGGCGTAAGTATTGCTTAAGCTTAAGGGTTGGAGGCTGCAGTGAGCCGTGATCATGCCACTGCACTCCAACCTGGGTAATAGTGTGAGACCCTGAAAAAAAAAAGTCTGGCTTCCCCAGTTTTTCTTTTTTGCTTCCTTTCTTGCCATGTGATCTTTGCACACCTCCACTTCCCTCCTGTTTTCTGCCTGGAGTGGAGGCCCTCACCTGATGCCCCTTCCCAATCTTGGATTTTCCAGCCACCAGAATCATGAGCCAAATACATGTATTTTCTTGATAAATCACCCAGCTTCAGGTCTTCTGTAATAGCAACACAGAACAGACCAAGACATTTTGTTTTCAAAGAATATTCCATGTCACGGGGAAAGTTTCATAATATGGTGTTGTGTGAAAATAGATACACTGGTTCTATTTTGAAATAAATACATATTTAAAATGAAACAGGAAGAAAATATGCCAAAATGTTAACTGGTTCCCTTCCCTCTCCTCCCCTCCCCTCTCCTCCCCTCCCCTCCCCTCCCCTCCCCTCCCCTTCCCTCTCCTCCCCTCCCCTCCCCTTCCCTCTCCTCCCCTCCCTTCCCCTCCCCTTTCCTTTCCTTTCCTTTTTGAGAAAGGGTCTTGCTCTGTAACCCATGATAGAATGCAATGGTGCAATCATGGCTCACTGTAGCCTCGAACTCCTGGGCTCAAGCAATTCTCTCATCTCAAGATGTTGAGAGTACAGGTGTGTGCCACCACATCTGACTAATTTAAAAATATATATATTTTATATATTGATATTGATAGAGACAGGATCTCACTATGTTGCCCAGACTGGTCTTGAATTCCTGGACTCAAGTGATCCTCCTGCCTTGGCCTCCCAAATTGTTGGGATTACAGGCATAAGCCACTGCACCTAGCCCAGATTTCTACCATAAGCGTGGATTGTATAATGCAGAGCATAAATAACAATCAAATAGGAAGAGGTAGCAACGTTTATTTTCACTAAACTGAAAAGCACTGCCTAAGTGCAATTTTATTATATTTATTGTTCTCTAATACAGACTCTAAGCCCATTATCAATCAATCCAAAAGCCTGTTATCTAGATAATTCTAGACAATGCAAAGTCCTTCATCTAAAATTGAAGCTCCTTGGAGATCAGGTCCCTGGTTACTTTCCCGTTCCTGTTATTTACCATAACAGGCTGGCCTCCTCCCGATTCCCTAAACACTTCTGAGTCTCCTCTGCTCCTTTTTTGTTTTTGTTTTTGAGATGGAGTCTTGCTCTTTTCGCCCGGGCTGGGCTCACTGCCACCTATACCTCCCCAGTTCGAGTGATTCTCCTGCCTCAGCCTCCCAAGTAGCTGGGATTACAGGTGTGCACAACCACGCCTGGCTAATTTTTGTATTTTTAGGAGAGATGAGGTTTCGCCATTTTGGGCAGGCTGGTCTCAAACTCCTGACCTCAGGTGACCCGCCTGCCTCAGCCTCCCAAAGTGCTGGGATTACAGGCAGGAACCACCATGCCCTGCCCCTCTGCTCCTTTGCATGTGCTGTTCTTTCCATCTGGAATTTTCTCAGTCCTTCTCCCTGTCCATCCAGGTCCCCAGGGGTTCAAATCAAGTCCTCTCTACTCTGAGAACATCTTCCCAGTCAAGCCTCTGAATTCCTACAAGCCTTTGTTATATTAAATAATTCTCTGTTATCTAACTTTCTCTGAAGGCATCTGTTTCTGCAACTGGATTGCAAGCACCTTGTCTAGTGTGATGCTTATATATAAGAGTAGTGTTAGTACACTGCAGGTGCTCAATAAATACTGCAGATTATCCTTTTTTTTTGAGATGGAGTCTCGCTCTGTCGCCCAGTCTGGAGTGCAATGGCGTGATCTTGGCTCACTGCAACCTCCGCCTCCCGGGTTCAAGCAATTCTCTGCCTCAGCCTCCCGAATAGCTGGGATTACAAGCGCCCGCCACCATGCCCGTCTAATTTTTTTGTATTTTTAGTAGAGACGGGGTTTCACCATGTTGGCCAGGATGGTCTTGAATTCCTGACCTCGTGATCCACCCACCTTGGCCTCCCAAAGTGCTGGAATTACAGATGTGAGCCACTGCACCTGACCAGATTAGCCCATTTCTAAGCTACTTGTGGCAACATGGTCCTCTATGCGTTTAGGAAACTGTTTTTTTTCTTTGCATGTTTCCCCTCACCCTCCCCAAACAAAGCCATTTAGAGACCAATGGACCAGACCTTGCGTAATCTCAGTGAGCCTGTGAGCATCCCAGATTGAACAGAAATTCAGCTGTAGACCTAGGAGATGTTTATTATCCTCCCTCCTTCTTTTGTTGCTTTTCACACACCTCTGTGCTCGAAAAGAGTCACCTGGTATATGAACTCTACACAGATGCTTGGACTCTTTTGTCCTTTTAACCTAGCAAGGGAAGGAGTTGTAAAGGATAAAGACTTCTTTTTATTACCTTTTAAAATAAATGAAATCGGCCGGGCATGGTGGCTTACGTCTGTAATCCCAGCACTTTGGGAGGCCGAGGCAGGCGGTTCACTTGAGGTCAGGAGTTCACGACCAGCTGGACCAACATGGTGAAACCCCGTCTCCACTAAAAATACAAAAATTAGCTGGGCGTGGTGGCATGCGCCTGTAGTCCCAGCTACTTGGGAGGCTGAGGCAGGAGAATTGCTTGAACCTGGGAGATGGCAGTTGCAGTGAGCTGAGATTGCACCACTGCACTCCAGCCTGGAAGACAGAGCAAGACTCTGTCTTAAAAAAAAAAAAATTAAAAAAAATAATAAAATGAAATAATCTTTCATTTTAGTTATGGAGTTTGAGGAAGAGTGAGGCCTTCCTTACAGAGCTGGGGCCAGCTGTGTTTATACTGAACATCAGGGCCAGGACCTAAGAATGGTGACAGGTGTGGGTGGCCACAAGGTATAGGCAAGAGGTCACAGACTCAGATACCTGCATGGCCAGACATGTAGCAAACTGGGCGGGTGTGAAACAGTAGCTGTGGGTGGGACCAGAGGTGGAAGTACATGATATTTAAGCTTCCTGAGCCCTTACTTGCTCAGGCCTCTGGAGGGACCCTAGCAATTCTGTATTTATAATTTCAATTTATTTTACTTAGAGAAGTCACTCCAACTAATATAAGCTTCAGGCCCGATAAAACCTATCTTTGCCCTTGGTGGAACTCTGGTACCCAACATGCCCTGGCCTAAGTTAAGTTGGATCATTTGGCCTCAAGTGATGACAGCTAATCAGAAGTGTTTCTAGGGCTTTTGGTTTTTCCAGAGCAGGAGGAGTCCAGATTTTTGTATGAAATCTCTGACATTTTAAATGTTGGTAACTTACAGCCAGGCACGGTGGCTCACACTGTAATCCCAGCACTTTGGGAGACTGAGGCATGTGGATCATTTGAGGTCTGGAGTTCAAGACCAGCCTGGGCAACATAGTGAAACCCCATCTTTACTACAAATACAAAAATTAGCTGGGCATGGTGGCACGTGCCTGCAATCCCAGTTACTTGGGAGGCTGAGGCAGGGGAATCACTTGAACCCAGGAGGTGGAGGTTGCAGTGAGCTGAGATTGTGCCACTGCACCCCAACCTGGGTGACAGAGTGAGACTCTGTCTCAAAAAAAAAAAAAAAAAAGTCGGTAACTTAAAACAAAAAACCACTGTGGCCAAACAAGTTGTGTGTATATATAGCAGGGAGTGAACTCGTGGACTGCCAATCTGTGACTTCTGGTTATTTGAGTTCAGAGGAATTACAGAATTGCCAAATTCTGTCATTTGGCTCCATGGCAGGGTCTACCTGCCCTGTGTCCTCTGCCCGTTAGAACATGTTTGGATAGGTCTCTGCCAGGGAGCTTTGATCTTTTCTGTGGCTGCAGCCAACAGCCAGACATCCTCTAAATGTCAGCCACTAGTCACAAGGACAGAAAGCCGACTGAGGGTGCGGGTGGACAAATTGGTGTAAATTCATTTCCACAGTCGGCAAAGCCAACCAAAGCACGTGGTCCACTGACAGTGATGTGGCAGCAAAGTCACTTGAACATGTGAAGACAAAGTGGGGTGGCTGTTGTTCTTCCCGGGCACTGATTAATCATGTAGGTGGGTAACTGTGTCGTGCTCCTCCGGAGGGCTGCAGCCAATGAGTTCAGGGGAGATTTATATAACTGCTCAGACGGAGAGGAAGTCACTTCCCTCTAGCTCCCAAATCCACTTGAGGCCACACACCCAGGCTTTCATAACTGCAGGCTTTCTACCTTGTGAACACTCCTCAGAAACTGCAAAGGGCCCCCAATTAAAGGAGTGACTTCTGTGTGTCATTTCATGTATAGAGCATGATGCTTCTTCTAAAGCTCCCGGGATGACAGGGGACATCAGATGGGGCCACAGGCTGGTATTTGGGGCAGAACGCAACTGTCAAGGATATTGGGGAGAAAGACGAGGCTGATAAGAACAAGGGATTTCGAGTGACAGCCTGTGGGCGTCCTTCCGTTGTCAGCTCAGATCGGCCATAAAGCTGCTTTGAGTGGCTGTGTTTCCATTGCTAATTAGCATGCCGTGGGAGCTGCTTTGCCATAGAGAGGTTTCAGGGCCTGCCGCATGGTTTTTTTTTTTTTTGAGACAGAGTCTCACTCTGTCGCCCAGGCTGGAATGCAGTGGCCCAATCTCGGCTCACTGCAACCTCCTGGGTTCAAGCAATTCTCCTGCCTCAGCCTCCCAAGTAGCTGGGATTACAGGTGCACACCACCACGCCTGGCTAATTTTTGTATTTTTAGTAGAGACGGGGTTTCACCATGTTGGCCAGGCTGGTCTCCAACTCCTGAACTCAAATGATCCGACCGCCTCGGCCTCCCACAGTGCTGGGATTCCAGGCGTGAGCCCTGATGCCCAGCCTGCTGCTTGGCTTCTAAGTAACTAGCAGGATCTGCGGTGGTGGTGAAGCGTGCTTTGCATAAGGCCAGAGCCTAGGGATCTGTTGTATAAACTCCACTTCTGCTTCTGACTGGGGGGGGCGCAATTGCAGAACATTTAAGAGAGCATCCCCCTTCCTGCCCCCCCATGCATGGACTGCTTCTGGAAAGGGCCTATCAGAACCCCCCCCCCCCCACAAAGGGGGCTATTTATTTATTTATTTATAGACGGAGTCTCGCTCTATTGCCCCAGCTGGAGTGCAGTGGCACAATCTCAGCTCACTGCAACCTCTGCCTCCCAGGTTCAAGCAATTCTCCTGCCTCAGCCTCCTTAGTAGCTGGGATTACAGGCGCACACCACCACGCCCAGCTAATTTTTTTTTTTTTTTTTTTGGTATTTTTAGTAGAGATGGGGTTTCACCATGTTAGCCAGGATGGTCTCTATCTCCTGACCTCATGATCCGCCCACCTTGGCCTCCTCTCGAAGTGCTGGGATTACAGGTGTGAGCCACTGTGCCCGGCCAATTTATTTATTTTTTTGAGACTGACTCTCACCCTTGCATCCAGGCTGGAGTGCAGTGGCAATATCTCAGCTCACCGCAACCTCCACCTCTCGGATTCAAGCGATTCTCCTGCCTCAGCCTCCCAAGTAGCTGGGACTACAGGCTCCCACCTTCTTGCCCAGCTAATTTTTGTATTTTTTAGTAGAGACTGGGTTTCACCATGTTGGCCAGGCTGGTCTCGAACTCCTGACCTCAAGTGATCCGCCTGCCTCAGCCTCCCAGTGTTCTGGGATTATAGGTGTGAGCCAGTGCGCCTGGCCAAAAAATCTATGTAGTTGCAGAAAAAGCTGCAGGTTGGGCATGGTGGCACACACTTGTAGTCCTGGCTACTTAGGAGGCTGAAGCAGGAGGATTACTTGAGCCTAGGAGTTCAAGTCCAGCCTGGGCAATATAGCTAGACCCCATCTCTTAAAAAAAATACAGAAGTTAGCCAGGCATGGTGGTGGGTGCCTATAGACCCAGCTAATTGGCAGGCTGAAGTGGGAGGATCCTTTGATCTCAGGAGGTTGAGGCTGCAGTGAGCTGTGATCATGCCACTGCACTCCAGCCTGGGCGATAGTGTGAGACCCAGACTCTAAAAAAGAAAAATAAGAAAGAAAGAAACTGCAGTAGATAATGTATAATGGGAGACAATAAAAGAAGGAAGATGAAGCATTTCTCCCCAGGGAGTTAGACTGTCATTCTGTCTGTCTGAAACCTTCCCAGTAAGTCAGTATTTCTGGTGTGTGCCTGGTAGAATTGCCTTGCTTTGTCTTCTAATTCATTCACTCACAAAATAATGTATGAATTCCGATTATAATCCAGGCCCTCGTTCCCATGCTAGGCACATGTGATGAGTGAAACATAGTCCCTGCGATTTGGAGCACCCATAATGAACAGTGTAAAAACTAAATGTCGGCCGGGCGCAGTGGCTCACACCTGCAATCCCAGCACTTTGGGAGGCCAAGGTGGGTGGATCACCTGAGGTCAGGAGTTCAAGACCAATCTGACCAACATGGAAAAACCCCATCTCTACTAAAAAAATACAAAATTAGCTGGGCATGGTGGCGCATCCCTGTAATCTCAGCTACTCGGGAGGCTGAGGCAGGAGAATCGCTTGAACCCGGGAGGAGTAGGATGCAGTGAGCCGAGATTGCGCCATTGCACTCCAGCCTGGGCAAAAAGAGCAAAACTCCATCTCAAAAAAAAGAAAGAAAGAAAAACATTGGCCAGGTAAGGTGGCATGTACCTGTAATCCCAGCTAGCTACTTGGGAGGCTGAGGCAGGAGAATCGCTGGAACCCAGGAGGCAGAGGTTGCAGTGAGCTGAGATTGTGCCACTGTACTCCAGCCTGGTGACAGAGCAACACTCTGTCTCAAAAAAAAAAAAAAAAAAAAAAAGAAATGTTCTAGATTCTAATGAAGAATGATGATATAGTTTGGATTAAGTATCTTGGACTGTTTTTTTTTTTTGTTTTTTACTTTATTTACTTTTTTTGAGATGGAGTTTTGCTCTGTCACCAGGCTGGAGTGCAGTGGCATGATCTTGGCTCACCACAACCTCTGCCTCCCGGGTTCAAGCGATTCTCCTGCCTCAGCCTCCCAAGTAGTTGGGACTACAGGTATGTGCCACCACGCCTGGCTAATTTTTGTATTTTCAGTAGAGACGGGGTTTCACCATATTGGCCAGTATGGTCTTGATCTCCTGACCTTGTGATCCGCCCTGCTTGGACACCCAAAGTGCTGGGATTACAGTCATGAGCCACGGCCCCCGGCCTGTCTTCAGTTTTTTGCATCGTACCTAAGTGTGGACTTTTACAAATTTATGTTGCTTGGGATTTGCTGGGCTCTTAAAAACTGTGAGTTGATGTCTGCCGTCAGCTCTGGAGAATTCCTGGCTATTATTTCTCCAAACATTGGCTTTGCTCCAGTATCTCATTCTTCTTTCTTTCTGTATGTCAATTAAATGTATGTTAGATCTTTTTAACACACTCTCCTTTTCATATTTTCCTTTGTTTTTTTTCTTTTCAAGCTGAATTCTGTATAGTTTTTTCTGACCTGTCTTCTGGTTCACTAATTCTCACTTCAGCCGAGATGATCTGCTATGAAGTCAGCCGTTGGCTTTTTAACTTCAATGACTGTATTTTTCAGTTTGAGAATTTCTAGTTGGCCATTTAAAAGATCTTTTATGTCATTTTCTATAGTTTCCTGTTGCTATAATTGTCAAGAGTAGCTTTTATGTTTCTGAAGGCGGTAAACAGAGTTGTTTTATGGCCTGTGTCTGAGAATTCTCATTTCTAAAGTCTCTGCGAGTTCGTTTGCACTCTTGGCTGTTCCTGCCATCCTAGCTCTTAATGCCTTGTTTTCTTTTTTCTCTCTTTTTTTTTTTTGTGACGGAATCTTGCTCTGTCATCCAGGCTGGAGTACAGTAGTGTGATCTCTGCTCACTGCAACCTCCACCTCCCTGGCTCAAGCAATCCTCCTACCTCAGCCTCCTGAGTAGTTGGGATTACAGGTGCGTGCCACCACACCCAGCTAATTTTGTATTTTTAGTAGAGACGGGGTTTCGCCATGTTGGCCAGGGTGGTCTCGAACTCCTGGCCTCAAGTGATCCACCTGCCTCAGCCTCCCAAAGTGCTGGGATTACAGGCTTGAGCTACCACGCTGGGCTGTGATGTCCTGCTTTCCTGAGTGCCTGAATTCTCTTAGGTGGTATCGGCCACTGCATATGTATGAATATATATATATGAATAATGGTGGAGTCTTCCAGAGAGGTTTTTAGCTGTGTCTGCCAGGCCTTGAGGCACCACCAGTCTGGAACCACCTTAATCCAAGTTCAAAGTTTGAGACTCCCGGACCGCCCAGACGATCTGAACTTGACTGTGAGCCTGAGGGCTGCATACTTGCCCTTCTCCCCAACCCTGAGGAGCTTGCTTGACATGGGGAGTGGTGTATCTGGATCCCCAGCCTTGGCAGGTCCTGGGCTCTGAATTGTGTTCAAAGCCTGTGAGACTATGGAAAGAATAGCTCATTTTCAAAGCTGTTTTTTTTTTTTTTCTTTTTTTCCAGATTGACAAATGCCTTAGAATAAAAGCTCTGTGGGCTGGGCAAACCACTTCTGGGTTTGTCCTGGCCTTGATTTTGGCAGATGTTTCTTCGCTACCTTATTATCATTTTGATGCTCTTAAGAAAACTAAACAAATCTTTCAGCCAGCTTTTAAGTTGTCTTTCGTAGGAGGGTTGATCTAAATTACTTAACCTGCTATTGGCAAAGGGAAAAGTACCAGGTGACCTAGGTTCAAATCCTAGGTGTGTCTATCACTTCCAGCTGGCTGATGTCAGCCAAGTTTGTTTCCTCATCTATCTGATGCACACAGTAAACCCTACCTACTTGACTGTGTGGCTGTGCAATTTAAAAGTGAACATTGTTTTTTGTAAAGGGGTGTACTCACAGGTTTGTTTATTGTTTATGTCCCACACTAGAATGTCAACTCCAAAAGAATGTCACTTCACTGGTATTTCCCCAACAATGCCTGATACATAGTAGATGCTCAATCAACATGGACTATAGGAAGGGTTACTTTGTAAAGATAATCAAGTACTTACCCAGGATACATGTATGTAGGCTGGGTACAGGCGCTCATGCCTGTATTCCAAGCATTCTGGGAGGCTGTTGTAGGATCACTTGAGGCCAGGAGTCTGAGACAAGCCTGGGCAACATAGTGAGACCCCCATCTCTACAAAAATAATTTTAAAAAAATTAACTGGGCATGGTGGCATGCACCAGTAGCCCCAGCTACTCAGAAGGCTGAGGCAGGTGGATCCCTTGAGCCCAGGAGTTCAAGGCTACAGTGAGCTGTGATGGCACCACTACACTCCAGCCTGGGTGACAGCAAGATTTTGTCTCTGAAACATTTTTTTTTTTTTTGAGACTCACTCTGTCCCCAGGCTGGAGTGCACTGGTGCCATCTCAGCTCACTGCAACCTCCACCTCCCTGCTCCAAGTGATTCTCCTGCCTCAGCCTCCTGAGCAGCTGGGATTACAGGTGAGCGTCACCACACCCAGCTGATTTTTTATATTTTAGTAGAGATGGGGCTTCGCCATGTTGCCCAGGCTGGTCTCAAACTCCTGACCTCAGGTGATCCACCCATCTTGGCCTCCCAAAGTGCTGGGATTACAGGTATGAGTCACTGTGCCCGGTCTGAAACTTTTTTTTTTTGAGACAGAGTTTGCACTGTCACCCAGGCTGGAGTGCAGTGGTGCTATCTCGGTTCTCTGCAAGCTCGGTCTCCCGGGTTCACGCCATTCTCCTGCCTCAGTCTCCTGAGTAGCTGGGACTACAGGCGCCCACCACCAAGCCCGGCTGTTTTTTGTATTTTTAGTAGAGGTGGGGTTTCACCGTGTTAGCCAGGATGGTCTCCATCTCCTGACCTCGTGATCCGCCCACCTTGGCCTCCCAAAGTGCTGGGATTACAGGCGTGAGCCACTGTGCACGGCTGAAACTTTTTTTTTTAAACCAAGCTTTGAACTTGGACTAAGGTGGTTCCAGAATGGTGATGCCCCAAGGCTTGGCAGATACAGCTAAAAAAAAAAAAAACCCCAAAAACAAAAAACAAAACAAAAAAATCCCAACATGTATTTAAAGATAAAACCATATCAGAAAACTGCACTCTTGGGGATCAAGATCAAATCTTCATATCAGCATCTACTGTGCAGAAGATCCTGTTTCCCTTTGTTAGTTTCTAAACCTGGTTGTTAGATTAATACAATCATTCTTACTTCATTTTAATTTTTTACTTGATATGATTTTTTTTTTGAGACAGAGTCTTGCTCTGCCACCCAGGTTGGAATGCAGTTGCACAATTTCGGCTCACTGCAACCTCCACCTCCCAGGTTCAAGCAATTCTCCCGCCTCTGCCTCCTGATTAGCTGGAATTACAGGCATGTGCCACCACACCCGGCTAATTTTTGTATATTTTAGTAGAGACGAGGTTTTGCCATGTTGGCCAGGCTGGTCTTGAACTCCTGACCTCAGGTGATCCGCCTGCCTAGGCCTCCCAAAGTGCTGGGGTTACAGGCGAGAACCACCGCGTTCGGCCCCTTGATATGATTTTGAACAGGATCTTTATCTTCAGTGAAAGGCTGATATTCCATTTCTTTATGGAAACAGTCTTGACTGTTTGGGCACTTGGGCTGTTTCCAGTTTTGGGCTATTAGAGATAATGCCAGCTTCTTTGTCAGCTGACGTCAGTGAAAATGGTGAAATGTGTCTATTGTCAAACCTTGACACTGTGTTCAGGCCCATTTCAGAAGTATCTTTCGGTGCTTGAAATTTGGCATCCTCTATAGTATAAACAAGATTAACAAAAATTGATTCCTTTGCCTCCCAAGGGAAAAACTCAGGCTATTTCCAAAGGAGATCAAAGAAGGATGTTCAAAATGGAATTCAGAGTCACTGTGGAATCTTAATGATAAACTTTGGTATTTCCTTTGACCAAAATTATTTTAATAAATGCTCTAGCAAACATTGCCACTGGTACATTTTTTTTTTTTTTTTTAACCAAGGAGTGATTTAGAAATGGTAAGGTGATTTACCTTAAGCCATAGAAGCTGGGGTGCTGACTGACTCATTCTGTATTCTTCTGCAGCTTTTTAGATAAAGAATTACCATAATTTTTTTTTTCTTTTTGAGATGGGGGTCTCACTCTGTCACCCAGGCAGGAGTGCAGTGGCACCATGATGGCTCACTGCAGCCTTGACCTCCCAGGCTCAAGCAATCCTCCCACATCAGCCTCCCCAGTAGCTGGGACCAAGGCACATACCATCATGCTCAGTTATTTTTTTGTATTTTTGGTAGAGATGGGGTTTTGTCACATTGCCCAGGCTGGTATCACTCTTGGCCTCAAGCAATCCTCCCACCTTGATCTCCCACAGTGCTGGAATTACAGGTGTGAGCCACCATGCCTGGCCAAGAATTACCATAATTTTATAATCAGAACAACTGAGTAACCGAAGTATGCTTTTATTTCATGCTCAAATAAAACTGATCAAGTCATCTTGTTTTTCAAGTGAAAATTCCTGACAACAACAGTAGCTACTATTTATTGACTGCCTTTGGTTTAGGTATTTTACAGTCACTCACTGTCTAATGTTCTTAAAACAACCTGGCAAAGTAAATACAGATGCTCTCTGACTTATATGATTGGGTTCTGTCCTGACAAACCATTGTAAGTTGAAAATTATGTTAAGTTGAAAATGCCTTTATTTCTTTAATTAATTATTTATTTGAGACAGAGGCTCTCTCTGTCGCCCAGCTGGAGTGCATCTGCTTACTGCAACCTGCACCTCCCGGGTTCAAGTGATTCTCCTGCTTCAACCTCCTGAGTCGCTGGGATTACAGGTGTGCGCCATTATGCCTGGCTTTTTTTTTTTTTTTTTTTTTTTTTTTTTTTTTTGAGATGGAGTGTCACCCTCTGGCCCAGGCTGGAGTGCAATGGTGCTATCTCAGCTCACTGTAACCTCTGCCTCCTGGCTTCAAGCGATTCTCCTGCCTCAGCCTCCTGAGTAGCTGGGATTACAGGCACACACCACCACCCCCAGCTAATTTTTGTATTTTTAGTAAAAACGGGGTTTCACCATGTTGGCTAGGCTGGCCTCAAACTCCTGACCTCAGGTGATCTGCCCGCCTCAGCCTCCCAAAATGCTGGGATTACATGCGTGAGCCACCACGCCTGACCAATTTTTTTAGTTTTAGTAGAGACAGGGTTTCACCATGTTGACCAACCTGGTCTTGAACTCCTGACCTCAAATGATCTGCCCACCCTGGCTTCCCAAAATGCTGGGATTACAGGCGTGAGCCACCATGCCCGGCTGAGAATGCATTTAGTATAACTAACCCACCCAACATCACATCTTAGTCTGGCCTACCTTACATGTGCTCAGAACGCTTACATTAGCCTATAGTTGGGCAAAATCATCTCACCCAAAGCCTATTTTAAAATAAAGTGTTGATTTGGGAGGCCGAGGTAGGTGGATCACCTGAGGTCAGGAGTTCAAGACCATCCTGGCCAACATGGTGAAACCCCATCTCTACTAAAAATGCAAAAAAATTAGCTGAACATGGTGGCACACGCCTGTAATCTCAGCTACTCGGGAGGCTGAGGCAGGAGAATTGCTTAAACCTGGGAGGCAGAGGTTGCAGTGAGCTGAGATCGTGCCATTTCACTCAAGCCTGGGCGACAAAGCAAGAGTCCCTCTCAAAAAATAAATAAATATGCCTGGCAAGGTGGCTCATGCCTGTAATCCCAGCACTTTGGGAGGCCGAGGTGGGCGGTTCATGAGGTCAAGAATTTGAGACCAGCCTGACCAATATGGTGAAACCCCATCTCTACTAAAAATACAAATACTAGCGGGGCGTGGTGGCGCACGTCTGTAATCTCGGCTACTCAGGAGGCTGAGGCAGGAGAATCCCTTGAACCCAGGAGGCGGAGATTGCAGTGAGCCGAGATTGCACCACTACACTCCAGCTTGGGCAGAAAGAGCGAAACTCTGTCTCAATAAATAAATAAAAAGTATTGAGTATCTCATGGAATGTATTGAACACTGTGCTGAAAATGAAAAGCGAACATTTGTATAGGTACTCGAAGTATAGTTTCTTTTCCTTTTTTCTTTTTTTTTTGAGACAGGGTTTCACTCTGTTGCCCAGGCTGGAGTGCAGTGGTGCAGTCATGGCTCATTGCAACCTCCGCCTCCCAGGCTCAAATGATTCTCCCTGCCTCAGCCTCCTGAGTAGCTGGGACTACAAGCGCTCGCCAACACGTCTAAGTTTTGTATTTTTAGTAGAGACAGTGTTTTGCCATGTCACCCAGGCTGGTCTTGAACTCCTGGGCTCAATCGATCTGACTACCTTGGCCTCTCAAAGTGCTGGGATTACAGGCATGAACCACCACACCCGGCCTCAAAGTAGTTTCTACTAAATGCAAATTGCTTTCACATCATCATAAAGCTGAAAAATTCTAAGTTAGGCTTGGCGTGGTGGCTCATGCCTGTAATCCCAGCACTTTGGGAGGCCAAGGTGGGCGGATCACCTGAGGGCAGGAGTTCAGGACCAGCCTGGCCAAGGTGGTGAAACCCTGTCTCTACTAAAAATGCAGAAATTAGCTGGGCATGGTGGCATGCATCTGTAATCCCAGCTACTCAGGAGGCTGAGGCAGGAGAATCGCTTGAACCCAGGAGGCAGAGGTTGCGGTGAGCTAAGATCGTGCCACTGCACTCCAGCCTGGGCGACAAGAGCAAAACTCTGTCTCAAAAAAAAAAAAAAGAAAAATTATGTGTTAAATTATTGTAAGTAGACGACTGTCTGTACTACTATTATTTCCATTTTCCAGATATGGAAACTGAGACTGAGAGGAGTTACGCAACCTGCCGCCCTTGAAGCCACAAAATTAGAGCATGGTGGAGGCAAACCAGTGGTGCCTAATTTACCACTTGCTTATTACCACTGAAAGAAGAAATGACTTTCCAGGTGTTTTGGGTGCTAATTCAATTCTTTAAGTGCTTATTTAGGACCTGGCAATGTTTGTCCCCCAGGGTAAGGGGTAGGGTATCTTTAAAGGTGACAATTGGTATCCTTATATACAGGGGAGACTTTATCTCAGCTTTTATATCCATACAATAGAGTTTTATGTCTGGGCATGGTGGCTCATGTCTGTAATCCCAGCACTTTGGGAGGCCGAGGTGGGTGGATCACCTGAGTTCAAGAGTTCGAGACTAGCCTACCCAACATGGCAAAACCCCGTCTGTACTAAAAAAATACAAAAATTAGCTGGGCGGAGTCTGCAGTGAGCCAAGATCGCGTCATTGCACTCCAGCCTGAGGGACAGAGTGAGACTTTATCTCAAAAAAAAAAAAAAAAAAAAAAAAAAAAAACTGAGATAAAATCTCCCCTGTGTGTAAGGATACCAATTGAAATTAGCAACCAAAGCCAAAATTGGTGTATTTTGTTTTTCTGAGTGTACAAAACTTGGGATTAGAGGTTGGAAAATAAAAGATGTGAAACTACCCTTGGCTAGCATCCATCTGCCCCTTCTCTCAACCCTGCGTCATTTGTCACTTGCAGGGAAGGTGGAGAGAAGGACGAGATGGCAGATGGAGGAAGAGAGGACTCAGAAACCCTCGTTTCTTCTGGTTTGCTTCTGACTTGAACTGAAGCTCATGCCTCCTTGAACCTGGGAACAGTTTGATTTCTGGAAGGAGCTGCGTGCAGAAGCTCCTTTAAAACTTTGGGATCAAATTAAAACTTTGGGTTTTAGGTAGGCACAGCCACAAAAAAGTTGAAGCTGGCATGTCTTGTGCAAGGCTACCTATCAAGACAGAAATAGAAGTGGATCTCTGGCCTGGCCGTCTGGGACTGCGATGTCTCATTGTGGGGCCTGCCTGTAACTGAAGGTTCCGCATGAGTCACGGACTTCCCTGGTGCAGGGCAGCAACCCAGGGGCTTGGTAACTGGGTTGAGGGAAAGAGAGAAGTTTTTGTTTATGATCTCATTCCAATCAGAATGTGTCCAGACGCCCAAATATTTGATTTGAGCCTGGTTGCTAAGAGACCTCCCACTGGGACCCAGCTGCCTGCGGGCAGGAAGGCGGTATTGGCATCATTTCAGATTTCTGCCAATTTATTTTGAAACCAGAAAACCTAGAACCTCGGCCTCCTCAAGGCAACCAGGGGGAGAGGAGAGATCTGAGTCAGCCAAACTAGAGAGAGAAAACCCCCGCTAACCTTCTGCCAGGGAGCTGTAGGAAGGTTCGGGATAGAATAGAATGATGACATTGTGCTTGTTTACTTCCTGGGAAATAGGCCGGTAGGGTAATGAAGAAGAAGTTGGAGTTCTGTGCTTAGAAATGCAAGTGTCATCTTGAAGAAACCTCAGGGATTCCAGAACAATGCTGGATTTCCGGGTAATAATTGGGCGTTGTGAAGGCTGCCCTGATTGGATCCACACACCCAGCATCTTGGGTTTTAATTGCCCGGTGACTTAAATGCCTTAGGGAAATGGCATGAGTAACATTGTCATAGGTGAGCGTGTGCGGGGTCGGTGCACATGGGACAGGTGGGGAAACCTGCTTCTGGCTTCTCTCCTTTCTCAGCAGAAGGCAGATAGCTGAAGGGAAAAGGCTTCACATCTGTACTGGTATCAAGGAACACTGGGCTTTCCCATGCTAGTAGCAGCAGAACAGAACCTCTGGATGTGATCTCTGTCCTCAGTGCCACTCTCAGGACCAAGTAGTGATAAATACAGACCTAGACATTTTTCCAAGGTTTTTTTTGTTGTTACCTAGGCTGGAGTGCAGTGGTGTGACCTCGGCTCACTGCAACCTCCAACTCCCGGATTCAAGTGATTCTCGTGCCTCAGCCTCCTGTGCAGCTGGGACTGCAGGCAAGTACCACCGCACCTGGCTAGTTTTTGTATTTTTAGTAGAGACGGGGTTTCACCACGTTGGCCAGGCTGGTCTCGAACTCCTGACCTCAGGGCAGGAGAAATTGGATGTCCCAGCTCAAACAATCAGCCAGGAAGGGGAAAAAGGAGCAAATTCCTCTTTCCTCCAACTGTTTGCTCTATTCAGGCCCTCAGTGGATTGGTCGATGCCCTCCCACAATGGGGAGGGTTTTCTACTTCATCGTTACCCCGTGGTGCCATCAAGTTGACACATAAAATGAAGCATTGCAGTCCTCCTCTCAGTGACATTCTCTGGAGCAGGACAGCACAGCGGGTTTTGCTTTCAGATGGAAACTTATTGCAGGCTCCACTCTTTTCTGATGAGCCTTGTGATCTTGGGCAAGTTCTGATGCCTCAATTTCCCCATCTGTCAAAAGCTATCTTGCTATAGATTGTTATACCATACAGACATATGCACTCATATGTTCATCGCAGCACTATTCACAATAGCAAAGACATGGAATCAACCAGATGCCCATCGATGGTGGATTGGATAAAGAAAATCTGGAACATACACACCATGGAATACTACGCAGCCATAAAAAGAACAAAATCATGTCCTTTGCAGCAACATGAATGGAGCTGGAGGTGATTATCCTAAGTTAATAACACAGGAACAGAAAACCAAATGCTGGCCAGGCACAGGGGCTCACGCCTGTAATCCCAGCATTTTGGGAGGCCAAGGTGAGTGGATCACTTGAGGTCAGCAGTTCAAGACCACCCTGGCCAACATAGCAAAACCCCATCTCTACTAAAAATATAAAAATTAGCCAGGTATGGTGGTGCACACCTGTAATCCCAGCTACTCAGGAGGCTGAGGCAGGAGAATCGCTTGAACCTGGGAAGCAGAGGTTACAGTGAGCTGAGATGCCATCACTGCACTCTAGCATGGGCCACAGAGCGAGATGCCATCTCAAAATAAAAAGAAAACCAAATACTGTATGTTCTCACTCATAAGTGGGAGCTAAACATTGAGTACAGATGGATAAAAAGGGAACAACAGAGAGCAGGGCCCACTGGAGGGTGGAGGGTAGGCAGAGGGTGAAGATTAAAAAACTACCTATCATGCCAGCGTGGTGGTTCACACCTATAATCCCAGCACTTTGGGAGGCCAAGGTGGGCGGATCATTTAAGGCCAGGAGTTCGAGACCAGCCTGGCCAACATGGTAAAACTCTATCTCTACTAAAAAAAAAATACAAAAATTAGGTTTGTTGCGGTGGCTCATGCTTGTAATCCCAGCACCTTGGGATGCTGAGGTGGGCAGATCACGAAGTCAGGAGTTCAAGACCAGTCTGACCAATATGATAAAACCCTGTCTGTACTAAAAATACAAAAATTAGCCCAGTGTGGTGGCGGGCACCTGTAATCCCAGCTACTCAGGAGGCTGAGGCAGGAGAATCGCTTGAACCCGGGAGGCGGAGGTTGCAGTGAGGTGAGATTGCACCACTGCACTCCAGCCTGGGTGACAGGGCGAGACTCCATCTAAAAAAAAAAAAAAAAAGTTAGCTGGGTGTGGTGGTGCATGCCTGTAATCCCAGCTACTTGGGAGGCCGAGGCAGGAGAATCGCTTGAACCTGGGAGGTGGAGGTTGCCGTGAGCTGAGATTGTGCCACCGCACTCCAGCCTGGGTGCCAGAATGAGACTCTGTCTCAAACAACAACAACAATAATTTTAAAAACTACCTATCAGTTGTTATGCTGATTACCTGGGTGACAAAATGATCTGTACACCAAACCCCTACAACATGCAACTTAGCCATGTGACAAACCTATGCATGTACCACCTGAGCCTAAATTAAAAGTTGGAAAGAAAAAAACCCAAGCTATACTGAAAGAAGTATTTGTTGGGTTTGAAAAGGATGGGTAGTAGTTTGGTGTTTGGAAAAAAAAAAAAAATCAATGGAGAACAGGAGGGAGCTTTAAATTAAATATGGAAATAGGAGACAGAGGGGCAGGGCCTGGATCCAGCACCATGTGGGCCACACAGGAACCAGCTTGTAAATCCTTTGACTTTGATTTTTTTTTTTTTTTTTTTGAGAGGGAGTCTTGCTCTGTTGCCCAGGCTGGAGTGCAGTGGCGTGACCTTGGCTCACTGCGGCCAACTTCTGCCTCCTGTTGTTCAAGCAATTCTCCTGTCTCAGCCTCCCAAGTAGCTGGGATTACAGGCACATGTCACCACGCCTGGCTAATTTTTTTGTATTTTTAGTAGAGATGGGGTTTCACCCTATTGTTTAGACTGGTCTCGAACTCCTGACCTCAGGTGATCCACCAGCCTTGGCCTCCCAAAGTGCTGGGATTACAGGCATGAGCCACCATGTCTGGCCTGGATTGACTTTGAAGGGCTCAAATCAAGTTTGCTTGACTGGAAAAGGATGAGAAAGGAGATGCATGCACAATTCCATGAACAGTGAAGTCTGGAGGCCTAGAATGAATAGTTTGAATGTAATATGGAAGGTAATGGAGAGTCACCAATGCAGTGCTCAGCTGGGTCTCATGGTTCCAGAAGGCATGAAATCAGCAGCCTCTATCATTTCCATCTTGCAGACCAGCGAAAGATACCCTCAGCAAGTGAAATATACTTAAATCCAGGGAGAATGCCCTTCAATAAATAAGCTTTTGTTGGTGAAGTCTGTGTGCTGAGAACATCTGCAAGACATATTTAAATTTGTTCCCCAGTCTTTGGTTAAATAGACTATGTCATCCGAGGTACCAATGACTGCTTCCACCAAGAAAGCTATGATGTCAGTGGTGTGGCATGGTGATGTCATCACAGGATCCCTTAGACTCCAGACCAGACCAAAAGAGAGAGTTTGTTGTCGTGAATGCAGATATCCTTGCTAATGAGGAACATTGGCAGGGAGGAGAAGGCCACTCTAAATAAGATGAATTGCGGCAGACGGAGGGCCAAATTCTGCATGGAGATCTTGAATATTCCGCAGGCTGTTCAGCCAAAATCTGCCTCTTAGTTTTTCAGTAATGATAGATGACAAAGCCTGGGGTAAAAATAAATCCACTTGCGTGTTAGTTGTTTCTGGCTGGTTCAGCAGGAAACAGCATCGTTAACCTTCAGGGGACTGGGGGATGCTTGAGATCTGGAAGCTGGGGCCTCTTTAGGGGGAATGGTTGGGGAAGGCTGAGGGGCTACAGAGTCACCCTGGGCTAAGTTCCTCCTCACTGTTCTCTTTTCTTAGTTACTGTGTAAATTTAATTAGGAGAAAGGCTTTTGTCCAGGCTGGTAATTGAAACATCTTTCTTAAATGTGTCAGTTTAAGGCCAGCAATTGCATTAGGTTGGGTACCTACATCTCATTCCGAGTGCAGTTGTCATCCAAGCACCCCACAGAAAGGTTTATGTCCATCTGCGGCATAAATTCCACAGAAACCTCAATTGGTGAGCAGGGGAAAAGCAGCTGGACCTGGAATGCTGAGAGGCACTTAGCTTTTGCCCTGTAACATTTTGGATGGGTACTTTCCCTTTACCCTTCCTCCTTTTTCAGAAACACTTGGAGAAGTAAAAGACCCACAGTGGCCCAGTAGTGGCAATATCTTTTAAAAAAATTAAAGAGCTACAAGTAATTCGCCTTTATAAAATATTGGTCTTTACTTATAGGTCTATAATTTATTTTTTATTATTATTTTTTGAGACAGGGTCTCATTCTGTCACCCAGGCTGAAGTGCAGTGGCGCAATCTCGGCTCACTGCAACCTCCATCTCCCGGGTTCAAGCAATTCTCCTGCCTCAACCTCCTGAGTAGCTGGGACTACAGGTGCCCGCCACCACACCCGGCTAATTTGGTATTTTTAGTAGAGACGGGGTTTTGCCATGTTGGCCAGGCTGGTCTCGAACTCCTGACCTCAGGTGATCCACCCACCTCAGCCTCTCAAAGTGCTGTGATTACAGGTGTGAGCCATTGCACCCGGCTGGGTCAATAGTTTAAATAAGAAAAGTGCTATGTGTTTCTGGTGCTAAAGTCCAAAAGTTTGGGTTTAGAAGAGTTAATGTCTACAGTTCCAAGGCATTCATAGGGAATAACATACTGGCAGCATCTTGCTAATTAATAGATTTTCTTCAGCTGGAAAACCCCTGCCAGAAACAAGAATCTTATGATAGTCCAAGATTATTTACATCTAATATAAAATGTGCCCATCTAGTGGAAGTGTTGTGGGTGGATGTGTTTTTACTAGGATATTTTTTCCTTTGAAACCATTCATTTTGTAATCCAGGCAAAGAACAAAGAGCCAGATGTGACAGCTAGTAAAAAAAAAAAAAAAATGCATACTATTAATACCTTATGTTTATCTGCTGTCTTTCTTCTAAGAAGTCCAAAGTGCTTTGCAGATGCTATCTCATCCCTCTCTGTATGTTATCACCATCTGAAGAAGGGCTGGAAAATGCCTGAAGTCAGGGAGTATGTTAGATGTCAGATGAGACTTGGTTCTTTTATTCTGCACAATGCCTTCCTCTAGTTTGTACTCTATATACAGTGCACCATAGCATCGTGGGACATAGCAAGATGCCTTTCACCTAAGTCATGCTCAAAAAAAAAATAAAAGGCCGGGCGCGGTGGCTCACGCCTGTAATCCCAGCACTTTGGGAGGCCGAGGCGGGTGGATCATGAGGTCAGGAGATCGAGACCATCCTGGCTAACAAGGTGAAACCCCGTCTCTACTAAAAATACAAAAAAAATTAGCCGGGCGCGGTGGCGGGCGCCTGTAGTCCCAGCTACTCGGGAGGCTGAGGCAGGAGAATGGCGTGAACCCGGGAAGCAGAGCTTGCAGTGAGCCGAGATTGCGCCACTGCAGTCCGCAGTCCGGCCTGGGCGACAGAGTGAGACTCCGTCTCAAAAAAAAAAAAAAAAAAAAAAAAAGCAAGAAAACAGAAAACCCCTCTTTTGCACCCACTTAGTTGTTTTGCCATAGCCCTAAGGCAAAAGCCTGAACAAGCCAACAGCTCTCACCAGACTGAACGAGGAAGCCAAATACTTGTTGGTCTGTTTTCTGCGTGAGGCTGTCTGCAAAGTCCTTCTGCATGGTGTACCTGCCCACTCAACAGTAATACGATTCCAGGGGCACGGCTCTACCGAACTGGAGTCAAGATTTGGGAACTGACCCTGACTATCCCTGAGACTAATGCCAGGAGAAATGCCCCCATAGTAGATTGCATTTCAGAATCTTGGCTGATTACACCATCTCTGGCAAATCCTTTGGACTTGAAGATTTCTTAATGACTAAGAATTGAAATCCATTACTAACATCCAAAGTAGGAAGGGAAGCAACTCTGCAATTTCCTCCTGAGCTATTGAGCTGAATTCCTTCACAGGTGTGCAGAGTTCTACTGTGGCTAAGGCTGTGCCCTGTGGGGGCACAAACAGAAGAAAAAGCACAGGCAAAGACATAAAAATCAAAGACAGGTCTATCCTTCGCCATAGTCTAGGTTTGGTTCCAATCACCAAATCTTAGATTTGGGATTAGAAAAGCAATCCACTACAAGCCAATAGGTTTCCTATGGGTGACAGAGCCATTGCTGAAATGGAGGGCAGGGTATTGCTATGTTTTCAACCCTGATTATCACACTCACTGAAGCACTTAACAAAAATTTTGGTCCAAAGGAAGGACCCCCGAGGCCTTTCACCAACAGACCCTTCCCGTTTTCTCCAGCCCCATTGGCTGCTGCCCCTCCATGCTCAATGAACTGTAACCCTGGTACACAAACCACCACTTCCTGAACACAGAGCTTTAGGTGACATATTTGTGGGAGTCATTAGTGCTGGGGTTTGCCAAAGATTTCTGGCTTTTGACCTTCTGCGCACATGATGGGATTGCACTGCCGGGCCCCCTTGAGTGCAGCTGGTCAATAACTTGTGAGAGGACGTGATGGGTATCACTTCCGGGACAGGGCAGTTAATTGCCAGTTCAAGACCTGGATTGAGTTCCTGCCATAGCGACTAGCAGAATTCAAGAGGGCGGCTGACCTGCCCGCACCTGCCCAACCCATTTATGATGGCAGTGAGAAACAAATCTTTGGTAGTATAAGCCACTAAGATTTGGTGATTGGAACCAAACCTAGACTATGGTGAAGGATAGACCTGTCTTTGATTTTTATGTCTTTGCAAGTGCTTTTTCTTCTGTTTGAAATCCACACCTTCCCTTCCGTGCTTGGCAAATTCTTACTGATCCTTCCAGTTTATAAGTAATTTTTTTTTTTCTGTGAAGCCTCTTCTGACACCTCCAGGAAGTTGGCCCTCTCTAATCTGTGCTTCCCCACGGCTCTCTGTGCAAACCTCCGTTGTTACCTTAATCGCATTTTATTCTTGCTGTCTACTTACATGTCTGCGTTCCTTTTTTAGATGTTAACATCTGGGGGGCAGGAACTGTGCTTCATTCATTTTTCTGTTCACAGTGTCTATTTCAAGTACAAGCGAAAAAATGCCTGAGAGAGAAATTAAGGCACTCCAGCAGTTTAGGGGATGTAGGTAAGGTCAGCCCACAGAGTTAGAATTCATAGTCTCAATGACCTCAGATATACCAGCTCGGAATTTACCAACTATTTGAAGATATTTGTTAAAAGATTGGTTTCTCTCCTTGCTTCAGCATTATCTGTCTATAGTTCAAATAGTTCAAAATAAACTAAGAACATCTTACAATCAGCCTCCCCTCTCCTGATAATGGCACCTTTTTATAGGAAAAAAAAAAAAGATCTCAAAGTTTGGAGAAAACGTTCCTGGGCAGTTTTCTTGAGGCCACATGGTCGTTTAGGCCTGGCTCTGCTTATATGAGGAAGCATACTTGTTGATTTAATGCCCTAGGTTTTTATAAATGCACTTATGCACATCACCACATGCACCTCCCTCAGCTGTTTGAAATATACTATTAAGATGTAATGTAAAGTGATAAGATTCTGTTTCAATGTCTGCTGTAGAAAAAGTAAAATTCAGTTCAGGGTAGAAAATTAGGGGAAATCCCATTTTTGTTTAGGGCTCGTTCCTCATATAAGAGGCAGCATATTTACTGTTGTAGTGTCCTTAATTTTATAAACGCATCTGTGCATATCACGAAATTTGTCAGCTGGGTGCGGTGGCTCAAGCCTGTAATCCCAGCACTTTGGGAGGCCGAGGCAGGTGGATCACGAGGTCAGGAGATTGAGACCATCCTGGCTAACACGGTGAAACCCCATCTCTACTAAAAAATAGAAAAAAATTAGCCGGGCATGGTGGCGGGCGCCTGTAGTCCCAGCTACTGGAGAGGCTGAGGCAGGAGAATGGCGTGAACCCGGGAGGCGGAGCTTGCAGTGAGCCAAGATCACGCCACTGCACACCAGCCTGGGCGACAGAGCGAGACTCCGTCTCAAAAAAAAAGAAAAGAAATTTGTCTCATTGAGTTGTTAAGAATAGACTCTTAATTCTAATATGAACTGACAAGATTGTGTTTCAATGTGAGTAGTAAAATGTAGGTCTAGGAGAAATTCTGAACTATTTTCAGGCCTAAGGTAGACAGATACAGGTTAATTCTTCTACTTAAATATCCAATGGGATGTGTTCATTTAAAAGTTCCGTGAGGTCTGAGAAAATGAAATAAAAAAAATGGTTTGGTTAAGAAAAATATATACATTTGGAGATTTTTTAAAGAAGTCATTTGATTCTCTTATTTTGGTTTTGAACAACACTCCTCTTTCTTCATTAAAAATCCCTTTTATGGTCAAGCGTGGTGGCTCATGCCTGTAACCCCAGCACTTTGGGACCCCCGAGGTGGGCGGATCGCATGAGGTCAGGAGTTCGAGACCAGCCTGGCCAACATGGTGAAACCCTGTCTCTACTAAAAATACAAAAATTTAGCTGGGTGTGGTGGCAGGCACCTGTAATCCCAGCTGCTTGGGAGGCTGAGGCAGGGAGAATCACTTGAACCCGGTAGGCAGAGGTTGTGGTGAGCTGAGATCGCGTCATTGCACTCCAGCCTGGGCAACAGAGAAAGACTCCATATCAAAAAAAACAAAACAAAACAAAACAAAAGAACCCAAAAATTTTTACATCATGGTGGACATCTATTGTGGTTGTCTCCTTGACATCCATTTCTCCTTCTTCTGTTAACAGCTGTTCAGTGTTAATCTGGTGCCTTTTATTTGAGTAACATTTTGACAGAGATTTGTGAACTGACCCTGGCTATCCCTGAGACTAAGCAGACTGGCCCAGCCTGGGTTTCAGTTACTCATGCTGGGTAACCTGGGGTATATTACTGAACTTTTCCAAATCCCACTATAAATGGGACCAATGATATTATCCACCTCACAGGATTAATGTGACGATTAGTAAATAAAAATGGGCTGGGTGAGGTGGCTCACATGTGTAATCGTAGCACTTTGGGAGGCTGAGGCAGGAGGATCACTTGAGGCCAGGAGTTTGAAGTTACAGTGAGCTATGATTATGCCACTGATTTTTTTCACCAATATACGTGACTCGTTTTTTTTTTTTCCCTGAGAAAATGGAAGGATTATTTCTTTGGAGATAAGTAGTTTTACTAGGACATATCTTGATATTAACCACCCATGTATTTTCTGATACATAATGTGCCTCTTCAGTCTGTGGATTTAAGCTTTTATTTCTGGAAGATTTTCTTGAATAATATCTTTAAATACTTTTTATTGCTTCATTTCAGTCTCTTCATAAGGTATCCCATTTGTGGATAAATTGAGCTTCCTATTTGTTTCATATAATTTTCTAGTTAATCTTGCTCATTCCCATCTTATTTTCCCCCCATTTTTGATTGTGTTCTCTATTTCTTTTGAGTCGTTTTGTTTTTTTTTTTTTTTGCAATTTTCCTTTTGCCCTTTTGCCATTTCCAATGTAGTCTTTATATCTATAGTATTTTATTTCTTGCCTCTTTTTTTTTTTCTGCTCTCTCACTGAGGCTGGAGTGTAGTGGCATGTTCATAGCTCACTGCAGCCTTCACTTTCTGGGCTCAAGCAAGCCTCCCAGCCCAGCCTCCCAAGTAGCTGGGACCACAGGCGTGTGCCACTACACTTGGCTAATTTAAAAATTGTCTGTAGGGATGGGGTCTTAGTATGTTATCCAGGCTGGTCTTGAACTCTTGGGCTCAAGCAATCCTCCCATCTTGGTCTCTCAAAGTGCTGGGATTACAGGCATGAATGAGCCATTTCACCTGGCCTTTCTTTTTTTTTTTTTTTTTTTTTTTGAGATTGTCACTCTGTCTGTCACTCTGTTGCCTAGGCTGGAATGCAGTGGCATGATCTCGGCTCACTGCAACCTCTGCCTCTTGGTATCAAGTGATTCTCCTGCCTCAGCCTCCCTAGTAATTGGGATTACAGGCGTCCGCCACAACACCCAGCTAATTTTTGTATTTTTAGTAGAGATGGGGTTTTGCCAAGTTGGCCAGGCTGGTCTCGAACTCCTGACCTCAGTCCATCTGCCCGCCTCGGACTCCCAAAATGCTGGGAATACTGGCATGAGCCACTGTGCCCGGCCCTTGCTTCTTTCTTGAGCAACTCCAGCTGATGTTTGAATTCCTTCTATTGCTTTGCCCCGTCTTCCCTGAGCAACTGCATCTTTGCTTTAAATTCAATATTTTAAGTTAAAATAAATTATGACATGTTTGAACACAAATTTTATCTATTCTCCAGCAAAGTTTTTCTTGTGTTGTTTCTCCACTGCTATTTGTTTCCTATTTCTTTGCTTTTTTTTCTTCCTTCCTTCCCTTCTTTTTTTTTTTCTTTCTTTTTTTTTTTTTACTAGGCCTGCATTACCAGAGCTCCCCTCCGGCCTTTTTTTTTTTTTTTTTTTTCAATTGGAGGAATTTCATAAAGATGTTGTGCTGTTGATTTTTCATCATCTTTGAACTAGATGCATTCCTGCATGAACAGCTGCTTTCAAGAGGTTCATGCTAAGGAGCGGGCCCTGGACTTCCAGGCTAGCTGGAATTCTCCTTGGGTGATGCTCAGTTTTCTTATGACCCAGGTTAGAAGATTCCTTTAGTCTTTACCTCTTCCAAAAGAAATCTGAAACTACAGTGCTGAGTTCTTTGTCTTCCTGTTGCCTCAGTGACAGACTGCTTTTTGCAAAGGTGGCAGTTTTGTGTGATTCCTCATTTAGTTACGTGTTTCCTTGGTGTAGATTCTAGTGCACACCATCAACAACTTATGTTAACCAGCAGTGTATAAGAAATGAGCTCCAGTAACTCTCTACTATTTCTAGGAACTGAGGACACAATTTAAGGTGCTAACAGTTTTTACAGCATTTGTGAGAAGAGCCCCACCCACCCCCAACTTAAGAGTGTTGTCAAACAATATATTTAATGGAGAGCATAATGCCCAACTTATTTTATTTTATTGAGACGGAGTCTCCCTCTGTGTCCAGGCTGGAGTGCAGTGGCGCGATCTCCGCTCACTGCAACCTCCACCTCCCAGGTTTAGGTGATTCTCGTGCCTCAGCCTCCCAGGTAGCCGGGACTACAGGCGTATGCCACCATGCCCGGCTAATTTATTTTTTTATTTTTTTGAGATGGAGTCTTGCTCTGTCACCAGGCTGGAGTGCAGTGGTGCGATCTCGGCTTACTGCAGTCTCTGCCTCCCGGGTTCAAGCGATTCTTCTGCCTCAGCCTCCCTAGTAGTAGGGACTACAGGCTCGTGCCACCATGCCCAGCTTTTTTTTTTTTTTTTTTGAGACGGAGTCTCCCTCTGTCACCCAGGCTGGAGTGCAGTGGACGCTCTTGGCTCACTGCCAGCTCCGCCTCCCGGGTTCACGCCATTCTCCCGCCTCAGCCTCCTGAGTAGCTGGGACTACAGGCACCTGCCACCACGCCCGGCTAATTTTTTTGTATTCTTTTTTTTTTTAGTAGAGACAGGGTTTCACCGTGTTAGCCAGGATGGTCTCGATCTTCTGACCTCATGATCCACCTACCTTGGCCTCCCAAAATGCTGGGATTACAGGCGTGAGCCACTGCGCCCGGCCAATTTTTCCATTTTTAGTAGAGACGGGGTTTCACCATGTTGGCCAGGCTGGTCCTGAACTCCTGAGTAGCTGGGATTACGTCTCTACTAAAAATACGAAAAGTTAGCCAGGTGTGGTGGCACGCACCTGTAGTCCCAGCTACTCAGGAGGCTGAGGCAGAATAATTGCTTGAACCCGGGAGGTGGAGGTTGCAGTGAGCTGAGATCACGCCACTGCACTGCAGCCTGGGCGACAGAGCGAGACTCTGGAAAAAAAAAAGTTTGTGTCTTGGCCAGGTGCAGTTTCTCACCCCTGTAACCCCAGCACTTTGGGGAGTTGAGGTGGGCAGATCCCTTCAGGTCAGGAGTTTGAGACCAGCCTGGCCAAAATGGAGAAACCCCATCTCTACTGAAAGTAGAAAAATTAGTCAGTTATGGTGGTACGTGTCTGTAGTCTCAGCTACTCGGGAGGCTGAGGCAGGAGAATCGCTTGAACCTGGGTGGTGGAGGTTACAGTGAGCTGAGATCACCGCACTCTACCGTGGCGACAGAGCAAGAATTTGTCTTAAAAAAAAAAAAAAGAAAATAAAGAAAAAAAAGAAGTATGCTTTTTCTTGAGGACCTCGTCCAGCTTAGAATAGCTTGATAATGCCAAATGAACATCATTACAGAAAGTCTGGAAAAGAAATAAAGCTCCCTACAGCAGTTCCACCAGTACAACAAATACCAAATAGCGGTCTTAACTCGATTTCATTTCTTTCTTTTTTTTTTTTTTTGAACAGAATATCACTCTGTTGACCAGGCTGGAGTGCAGTGGCATGATCTCGGCTCACTGCAACCTCTGCCTCCTGGGTTCAAGTGATTCTCCTGCCTCAGCCTCCTGAGTAGCTGGGATACAGGCGCACACCACCACGCCCGGCTAATTTTTGTAGTTTTAGCAGAGACAGGGTTTCACCATGTTGGCCGGGCTGGTCTCATACTCCTGATCTTAGGTGATCCGCCTGCCTCTGCCTCTTAAAGTGCTGGCATTTTACAGGCGTGAGCTGCCACGCCTGGCCTCAATTTCATTTCTTTATCCATTCGACACACATTTACAGATCAGTCAGTATGGGTAGGTTACCGTGTCAGGTGCTGGGAAACAGTGGCGAGAAAGTTAACAGGTGCCTTGCTCTCATGGAGCTTATAGCCTGGTAGGAAAAGTCACGGCCACAGGCCACGTGGAAGTTCTCATTTGCTTTCCCTTCATCTTTACTGTTCCTGTAAAATTGCCTTCTTTCTTTTTTTCTAATGGTTATTTTTATAGATTTAGGGGTACAAGTGCAGTTTTGTTACATGGATATATTGCGTAGTGGTGAGGTCTGGGCTTTTAGCTTAACCATCACCAGAATAGGGTACACCATGCCCATTAGTTAATTTCTCATCCCTTCCCCTACCCCACTCCAATGTCATTATTCCACACTCTCTGTCCACATATACACATTATTTAGCTCCCACTTCTTCTCCTTTTTTTTTTTTTGAGATGGAGTCTTGCTCTGTCGCCAGGCTGGAGTGCAATGGTGCAATCTTCGCTCACTGCAACCTCCTAGGTTACAGTGATTCTCCTGCCTCAGCCTCCTGAGTAGCTGGGATTACAGGCATGTGCCACCATGCCTGGCTAATTTTTATTTTTAATAGAGTTTCACCATGTTGGCCAGGCTGGTCTTGAACTCCTGACCTCAGGTGATCCACTGGCCTAGGCCTCCCAAAGTGCTGGGATTACAGGCGTGAGCCACCATGCCTAGCCTTAGCTCTCACTTCTAAGTGAGAACATGTGGTATTTGACTTTCTGTTTCTGAGTTATTTCACCTAAGATAATGGCCTTCAGTTCCAACTGCGTTGCTGCAAAAGACATGATTTCATTCTTTTTTATGGCCGGGTAGTAGAGAATCAGCACTTCTTCAGCTGTGGGGATAATAGCTGAGAATGAGAATTGTTTTCATGAGCTCTGGCGGCTGTTCCTGAGGCCAGGCAGCAAGGGCAACATAGCAGAGAACCAAATAGGAAAAGAGGAGAAGGAAACACAGTGGGAGGAAGGGAAGGAGAAAGAAAGGACAAGAAGATGCTGACTGTAGGCATGAGAAAGCGACAGTTGGGATCTTAGTTGACTTATGCCCTGGTTCCCACTGTTTGTATTATCTAACCTTTGGCACAAGTAAAATACATGATAGTTTTTCAAATGTTTCTTATTGAAGGGGATGCTGTTTGCCTTGAACTTTGGTAATGTGCCTCAAGTATAAGAGAGGTTCCTTAGTAATTCTTCTCACCCATCCGTGTTGGAAATTGGGTTTGTGGATTTATTCTACATCTAACCGGCAAGTAAATCCCCTCTTTGCTCTTCTCAGTTTGGAAAACCTTAAGCTAACCGTCTTTGAAAGATGGAAACTAGCATGGAGGTCCCAGGAATGGGGATGCCAGGGTGTCGTCTGACCTCTTTAGGGTCAGAGTAGGGGCTGAGGGAGAGCAGCTGGGCTGCCTCCACTTCAGCCAGAGTCAGAACTAGGCACAAGGTGCTGGATGAAGTTTCCTATTCAGGGAGCAGATTTTTTTTTTCCTTTTACAGTGAAATTGGAACAGTCCTGGGAAAATGGGACAGGTGTCCCCAGTCAAGAGACAGAGCTGTTTACCCAACTACGAGGAGAGGCCCTGAGGGAGGCGAAGTGTTGATACCAAGAAATCTAAAATTTTCCGATCAAGAGGTCGCCCCTGCAGGTTGGGGACCAGGGAACTGGAGCACGTGGGCTGCCCTCTGACAGGTGGACACCAGGAGTGGGGCGGGCAGGCCAAAGTACAGCTGGGAGATGGGAGTCCGGAGGGAATTCTCTGGGTTAGTTTTGGCAGTCCATAGGAAAGCAGGTGCCTGCCCCGCAACCCGGACACCCTACTAAGCCAGCCGCGGGTGGGCTCCTCCTTCGAGGGGACTGCGGGGCAGACGATCACTTCTTTCCACTGAGTCTCTGGGAGGAGACAGGGAGATGCCAGAAGGGGCCAAGCGTGAGCCAGGGCAACCAGGCCGGCCAGGCCCGCCGGCCGCTCCAGCCCAGCACCAGGGCGCCCGCGCGGCTGCCAAACACCCCCGGGAGTTTTGCTCGCAAAGGGACCACGAGGCAGCTGCTGGCGCGTCCTGCGCGTACCCGCCCAGAGGCTCCCCGGCTTGCTCCTCGCGGGTCTGTCCCGAAACTGACGTGAAACCGATTTGGTGCAATGCGAATGAGCTCCCGCCCGCCTCCGCCTCCATCCCAGCCGCCGCCGCCGCCCGTCGCCATAACAACCGGCCCCCACCCCCCCCACCCCACGCCTTGCCCCTCGGGTCCCCCGGGCCACAGGCCACAGCGCGGGAAGGCGCCCCGCCCTCGGCGCCCCGCATCCGGCCGCCGCGCACCCCCGCCCGCCCGGCGCTTCCGAGCCACGCAGAGGCGCCCCCTCCCGCCGGAGACGGGAAAGCCCCGGCGCCCCCAGACTGGGCTCCGTTTCCAGCTCCCGGAGGGGCTGGGGCTCTCCCGCGTGCGCCCCGCACCTGCCGGGGGCCCGTACCCGCCCTCGCCGGGGCTCCAGGGGGCACGACGGCCGTGGCCCGGCGCTCTTGGGAGGGGAGCGGGACATCCCCGAAGGCGGCGCGCTGGAGGCGGGGAGCGGCCGGGGCGCACGGAGAGGGCGGGGAGCCCGCGGGAGGGGGAGGAGGGGGAGGAGGGGGAGGAGGCGCGAGGTGGGGGGGAGCGCGGCGGGCGGCAGGGAGGGAGCGGGAGGGAGGCAAGAAAGTAGCAGAAAGTGAGGCTGGCAGGCGGCGGCAAAGGAGCCGGCGCGCGGCGGCGGCAGGAAGTCTGTGCCCGAGAACAGCAGAAATAAGAGCCAGGGAGGGACCGCGGCCGCGGCGGCGGCGGCGAGAGCGAAAGAGGAAACTGCAGAGGAGGAAGCTGCGCCGCAGCCCGAGCCGCCCGGCATCCCCGCCGCCTCTGCGCCCGCGCCGCGCCCCCGGCGCCCCCTCCCCAGCGCGCCCCCGGCCGCTCCTCCGCGCCGCGCTCGTCGGCCATGGCCCGGGAGAACGGCGAGAGCAGCTCCTCCTGGAAAAAGCAAGCTGAAGACATCAAGAAGATCTTCGAGTTCAAAGAGACCCTCGGAACGTAAGTGGGGACCGGGGAGGCGAGGGTGGAGGTGGCCGCGGCAGGGGCTGCACGGGCAGCTCCAGCTGCCGCCGCCGCCACTACCGCGGCAGAAACCCAGCCTGTCACCGCGTCCTCATTGTCCCGTTCTCGGCGCTGCGGAGCCCCCCCGAGCGCGCCCGACGCGTGGGCCTGCGACCCCCGGGTGGGCGCCGTTCCCGGGAGGGGGAGGGGGCAGCGCCGGGCTGTCAGGGAGCAGCCCACGCGGGCGCGCGACTTCCCACTTCTCCTGCCACCGCCGCCCTCTCCGCTGCCTTCTCCCCACGCGTGACTGTGGGCTGAGCATGGTGGGGATGGCTGTTTACCGGCTGTGTGCGTTTACTCGCCGTGTGCATGGGCGCACCGCGTTGGCGAGACGTGGTCACGAGAAGATCAGCCTCCAGTCGTTCCCATTTCTGTCCTTACATCATGTATTTCTATGGAATTGGCATCTGCACGTACGAGGTGTAGGCAAGACTTTGGGTGGCCACGCGAGGATGGAAGGGAAGGGCTTCGCAGTGCTCAGGGTCACACGTGGGCAGAGCCTCACCGGAGGGTCTGTGCATTTCACGCGGGCTCGGCCGCACGCGCCGGGGAGCGCGTCTCCAAGGGAGGGTCTGTGCGCGTCGCTGCGCGGGCGGTGCTCTCTCCGGGCTGCATCGAGTCCCATGCTGATGGCTGTGTCTCAAGAAAGCAGAAATAATCCGAAGTCGATGGCAGGAACGCTCCAAGCATGTGCTGCTCAGCTCAGCTGCTGTTCCCTTTCTGCCCAGGAGTTGGGTCTTGTTTGTTTTGTTTCGGAGCGGCTCAGAATAGGTGGGGAGGCTGATAGTGAAAGAGAATCAGGACCTGCCGAATGAGTCTGAAGTTCAAGTTATTTCCTTCCCTCACACAATCAGTATTTGCTCTGCATCAGTATCTGTCAGTGTGGATTCACGCACAGGTGTGCAGTCAGAAATGCCCATTTTGCAGGGGTTCATGGAGGTGTTGATTAGGCTGGGAAGAGAAAGGGGAGCTATTTCATGGGATAAATCAGTGCGTTGTTGGGTGCCCTTTCTTTCCTTCCTCCTTTTTTTCCGTGTGCTTGTTTTTGTGCTTGGTTTCTTTTTTCCAGCACCACATTACCCAGCTTGTCTTCACCTCCAGGCTCGGCGTCTGCTGCTGTTCAGTCATTTCCCCTCACCCCCACGCAGATCTGCAGGGGGTCCCCCGGAGAGAAGTTGTGAGGGTGGCTTTCCCAGTCCTGCTTCTGATTCCCGGGAAGGCGCACGCTGAGGACTAGAGTGGGGTCTCCCTGCTGTGGTTGTTGCCTTTCAGGGAGGGCACCTATTTGCTATCTTTGTTGGAATGAAAACAGAAAAAGATGTAGCTTTTTAATAAATAGGGGTTTGGGGTTGCCTCTTAGTGCAGCCAGGTAAGGGGTTAGTTTGGGTCAAAACTTTTGAAAATTGCCACTGAGGTTTATTCGGGTTTGGGGTTGTGATTCTGAGATGCTCAAGTTACTGAGAGACAAGAAAGCATGGCCTTTGCTTGTCATCCAGGACCCGCACTGTGGCCGCCAATGAGGAGATGGGAGAGCATGGGGACCCACCCTGTGTGAATGCTTTCCTGTCCGTGGCTTGTTCCCACCCGAGCCCCCCACACTGGCTTCCTGCCTGTAGCCTCCGGGTGACTGATGCCCTGTCCCCTGACTGACTCGTGCAGCTGCACCTCTGCAGTGGCGGGGCTGCTGAGGCTCCAAGCTGTGGCTCCTGCTGGAGCATGGTGTTTGGAGATGACTGTGGGTGGTTTCCACCTTGGGGAAAAATGGGGATTTGCCCTCTGGTGCCAGAGCGCTTCTCTGGCAGAACAGCCTCTTGGACTCCAGCCATGTTCCCTGTGAGCTTTGGGAATGGGTCTCTCTTAGGGTCCTAAAGCATTGCCTTCTGCCTGGGATGGAATTCTTTGCAAAGGAGCTTCCCACTGTAGCACTGGCATTGGACCTAGAAGAATGATAGAAACAGTGTGATGATCAAGATGTTTTTACTCCACATAATAATCATGGTAATCATAGGTGGTATTCTGAAATGTATACCCAGGATCAGGTATTATTCTACGTGCCTTATGTGTATTAACTCATTTAAATCTCAGAGTAACCTTATGAGGTAGGTATTTACCATTACACCCAATTTGCAGATGAGAAAACTAAGGCAGCAGAGATAATTATGTGAGCTACCAAACCTTAGCTAACTATTAAGTGGCGGAGCTGGTATTCACAGATAGGCAGAGCAACTTTTGATTGTCCATACAGGGTTGACACACTTTGTAGATCCTGTAATGGCCAATGCTTAGTCAATAATTTGACTTAACTTTAGTATTTGGAACGCGAACTTTAATATTAATGTAAAGAAAACATAATGGGCTGGGCGTGGTGGCTCACACCTGTAATCCCAACACTTTGGGAGGCTGAGGCGAGCTGATCACTTAAGTCAGGAGTTCGAGACCAGCCTGGCCAACATGGTGAAACCCTGTTGCTACTAACAATAACAAAATTAGCCGGGTGTGGTGGTGTGTGCCTATAATTCCAGCTACTCGGGAGGCTGAGGCAGGAGAATCGCTTGAACTGGGGAGGCAGAGATTTCAGTGAGTTGAGATTGCGCCACTGCCCTCCAGCCTGGGCCACAGAGTGAGACTCGGTCTCAAAAAAATAAAATAAAATAAATGAGAAAACATAATGATGGCAATAATGATAGCATAATGTTATCTAAACTTGGAAAACTTGGAAGCATTTCAGAGCTTTTGGATTGTCGTCCTTTTGCTTCTGTGGACTTTCTTTTTTTTTTTTTTGAGACGGAGTCTCACTCTGTTGCCCAGGCTGGAGTGCAGTGGCGCAATCTCGGCTCACTGCAAGCTCTGCCTCATGGGTTCACGCCATTCTCCTGTCTCAGCCTCCCGAGTAACTGGGACTACAGACGCCCGCCGCCATGCCTGGCTAATTTTTTTGTATTTTTAGTAGAGACGGGGTTTCACCGTGTTAGCCAGGATGGTCTCGATCTCCTGACCTCATGATCCGCCTGCCTCGGCCTCCCAAAGTGCTGGGATTACAGGCGTGAGCTACTGCGCCCAGCCGCCTCTGTGTACTTTCTAGAAGTGGTCCCCAGTTCAAGATGCCTGCTCCACCCTGGGCCATGACCGGTGACTCTGGCCCGAGTCTTAATGTGGAGTTGACTTCTGGTCCCTTCAGTGGGGATTTTGAGTCTGGGCCCTTCTCTTGTTTTGAATGAAATCTAACACAAATGAAAGGCATCGACAATTAACCACTGGCATTCATTTCCAAAGTATGCCGCAGTTCCAGTCACTTTGTTTGCCCTACTTTCTCCCTACGTCTTTAAGATACGAAGGCAGGAAAGCCTTGTAAGAAGCAGGGCTGTCAGCTCACAATGTTCACATGTATTTAAAATAAAGCATTGCAAAGGCTGGAGGAGCACTCATTTTGCCAGACTTTGTAATCTGATATCCACTGCCTTATCCAGGTATCTCACCTCATGGAGCCGAGCATTTACTGTTGGAAGCTAAGGGGTCAAGGCGGTTAGGCTGTATGGTTAGAGGGACCTTGCTGGAGAGTGGGGGCCGAATGGGAGTGAAGGTTGGCCCAGGAGGGTGGAAAATGAGATTGAGGAAGCAAAGAGCAGCATAAGAGAAAGGACTGGGCTTTGTGGTCTGGCCTGGGTTGTCTGATGCACCTCTGAGTCAGGTCTCAGGGACAAACCTTTCAACCTGTGCGCTTCAGTGCAGCCTCCTACAAAAGGGAATCCCAGAACATAACCATATCTCTGAATAAGGTGGTGAGACTTAATTATTGTCTATTAATCAACATGTTTTCAGACCCTTGGCACACTATGAGAACAAATAAATGTTATGTAATGGCAAATTAGGAGGGGTACACATTTCTGTTGGTGTATTTGCCAAGGCTGTTCAGGCCGTCCCTATCGTAGCTATCTTTCAGTGACTACTGAAGCAAAAAATAAAAAAACCCCTAAAATACTATTCGGAGAAGTATATGGATGGGAGGAAAGCTTCGGTGTGGTGTCTAGGAAGCACCCTAGACTCATAGAAGTCACTTCTGCAATTTCCAGGCTGTGAAATGTATGTGAATGGAAAGGCCTGGGTACTTGGCACGTGGCAGAATGAGTCTCCCAACAAACCTCATTTCCCCTGGAGTACAGAACATGGCATGCCCTAGAAAATGGATCTTCATCTCCGCGGGATATGAATGCATGTTTTTCGTGTAGACTGAGCATTTGAAGTTGAAGTTGTTCCTGTCTGTAGATGGCTGGACAAGGCATCGTGGAGGATTTGAGACTGGGTTTTAGGTCTGGTTCAGCCATGAGGGGTTTTGTGGCCTGTGGACTGCTTGGACATTGACCTACATTACCTTCTCCCTGTCTCAGTTTCTTCATCTATAAAATCAAGGCAGGTTGGGGGTGGGGAACAGGGAACATGAGATAATTTTCTTTTCTTTTCTTTTTTTTTTTTTGAGATAGAGTCTTGCTCTGTCACCAGGCTGGAGTGCAGTGGCGGGATCTCAGCTCACCGCAACCTCCGCCTCCCAGGTTCAAGCGATTCCCCTGCCTCAGCCTCCCAAGTAGCACCACCACACCCGGCTAATTTTTTTGTATTTTTTAGTAGAGACGGGATTTCACCATTTTGGCCAAGACGGTCTCGATCTCCTGACCTCGTGATCCGCCTGCCTCGGCCTCCCAAAGTGCTGGGATTACAGACGTGAGCCGCCGCGCCCAGCCGATGAGAAAATTTTCAAGTACCCTTGCAACCCTAAGATTCTGTGGCTCCCTGTGTAAGGAGGGCACTTGCTTTTGTTCCCGAGGGGCTTTCCTTGTGTGGCTAGGTGCAGCTCATTTCTGTTTGGAGGAAAATTTTTTTTTTTTTTTTTTGAGACAGAGCCTTGCTCTGTCACTCAGGCTGGAGTGCGGTGGTGCGATCATAGCTCACTGCAGCCTCACACTCCTGGGCTCAAGTGATTCTCCTTCCTGAACCTCCAGAGTAGCCAGGACTACAGGTGTGCACCACCATGCCTGGCTAACTTTTTTATTTTTTTGTAGAGACAGAGTTTTGCTGTGTTGCCCAGGCTGGTCTCAAACTCCTGGCCTCAAGTGATCCTCCTACTTTGGGCTCCCAAAGTGCTGGGATGACAGGCACGGGCCACTGCACTTAGCTCTGGAGGGACATTTTTGTGACTGTACTAGTAGCACAATAAGAGCTCAGGACCAGCACCCTGATCTCACTTTGTGTCAATAGCAGTGTGTCTCCTTTTTCATTAAATGAGTGCCTGCTGGATGCTGCTTTAGGAAGACTATAAATAGAAACTTCCGTGGGTCAAGCACCGTCTTTTCCCACTCATCTCACACTATGCTACTTATTCTGAAATTGCCCAATAAATACACCTATTAAGGACACAGATGATTGGTTTGTCTGAAAGTCCAGATGGAAAACAGACTCAACTTTTCTTTTTTGGTGTATATGTGTTTGTGTGTGCGTGTGTGTGTGTGTGCGCGCGCGTGCGTGTGTATGTGTGTGTGGTGGGGGAGAGAATGCACAAACACTCGAGGTGGTTTGTATATTTGACTGGTGAATTTCATAGTTGTTTTTCTGGGGTTACTTAGAATTTGAGAGTCCGTGAGAAGCATTAGGAAGAACATTACTGAGAAAAAAGGAGGGGTGGGAAGCCCCTAGACTTCTCCCCGAGGGTATCCCCGCTGCAGTCTTCTTTAGATGTTTGGATTCCCCAGTCCTCTTGTTTTGAGGCGTGATATAAATTCAGCCTCTCATACATTTAAAAATATCGGTTGAACACCTGCTATATTCTAGGCACCGAGGAGACGGCAGTGAGCAGACGAGAATGCCTGCTCTCCTGGAGCCACAGAAAATACAAGGGGCAAAGAAGGGAAAGGAACAGCACGTTAGAAGCTGCAGGTTAGGCAGGAACCAAGAGCCAAAGGGGATGTGTGGGGTGGGGTGATGGCAGCTTGAGGTGACGCTTGAATGCAGACCTGGAAAGAGCCATGGGGCTGTCTGAACGTAGACTCTTCCGGTCAAAGGCGGCCACAAGGGCAAGTGCCTGATGTGGGAGCCTGCCTGGGATTTTGCAGTGAGCCGAGATTGCACCACTGCACTCCAGCCTGGGCGACAGAGTGAGACTCCGTCTCAAAAAGAAAAAAAAAAAAATCTGCCCGCCCCCACCTCCCAAAGTGCTGGGATTACAGGCGTGAGCCACCTCACCTGGCCGAATTCCGGATGTGTTTTAAAGGTGGAGCTGGTAGGAATTGCTGGTGGACTGGATGTGGGGTGTGAGATTCCCCAAGGACCTGGGCTTGGACGAACAGTTCATTTGGTGGTTTTGTTCAGTTTCCCCAGGAATTCTCGGAGCACCTGCTCTGTCTACACATTATGGGTGCCCGTGTGCTGGGAGGCTCTGGAAACGGGCAAGCACACAGCCTTGGGCTTCTGGGCTCCCCTGGGGAGGGATTTCTGAATTTGAAGGTGAAATTCTCAGAGGGACTTTGAGGTACCTCCTCTTTTGAGGTCAGGAGTTCGAGAGCAGCCTGGCCAACGTGGTGAAACCTCGTCTCTACTAAAAATACAGAAAATTAGCTGGGTGTGGTGCTGTGCACCTGTAGTCCCAGCTACTCCGGAGGCCGAGGCAGGAGAATCGCTTGAATGCTGGAGGTGGAGATTGCAGTGAGCTGAGATTGTGCCACTGCACTCCAGCCTGGGTGACACAGTGAGACTCCATTTCAAAAAAAAAAAAAAAAAAAAAAGAAAAGGTGAAGATAACAAACTTCAGTGTCCTTATTGATTAGTAAAATGAGATTTGGGAAGTGGGAGTTTGGGTAGAGCTTGTTCCCAGAGAAGCTAATGATGACTGTGTCTCAAGTACAAATTTCTGGTTCGAACTTGGCCACTGAATGGACAGTAATTAGGTTTGCTGGTGCCAGGTGGAGATTTGTGTGCTCTCAGGGGAGGATTTCAAGGGTTAACTTGTTGAGTTTTCCTTTGGCTGGGTCTCTGTAAATCTCTTTAATCTTTCCTTTCCCCAAATAAATCTCCTTAAATCCCCTTCAATCTCTCTCCTCCTGCTTCTCCTCCTCTCTCCTCTGGGAGGGCTTAGGCATGGGTCCAGCGGAGATTTGTCACATTACTGGTCAACTTGCCCACCGGGGATATGTTTTCTTTTTTTACTTTTTAAGTTTTTATTTTATTTTCTGAGACAGAGTCTTGCTCTGTCGCCCAGGCTGGAGCGCAGTGGTCCAGTCTCGGCTCACTGCAACCTCTGCCACCCGAGTTCAAGCGATTCTCCTGCCTCAGCCTCCTGAGTAGCTGGGATTACAGGTGTTTGCTTTTTTTTTTTGAGACGGAGTCTCACTCTGTCACCCAGCCTGGAGTGCAGTGGCGTGATCTTGGCTCACTGCAACCTCCGCCTCCCGGGTTCAAGTGATTCTCCTGCCTCAGCCTCCCGAGTAGGTAGGACTACAGGCGCGTACTACCACGCCCAGCTAATTTTTGTATTTTTGGTAGAGATTATGTTTCAACGTGTTGCCCAGGCTGGTCTAAAACTTCTGACGCCAAGTGATCTGCTCACCTCAGCCTCACAAAGTGGTGGGATTACAGGCATGAGCCACTGCACTCGGCCATTATGTTTCTTTAATTAATGAAGGAACTGCTTATAGGCAGCCACCATGAAGCTGGTGCCCGAGTCAGCGGACCCACGTTATTTTCCTGATGCAAGATGGTCAATTCCGTGCTTATTTAGTGCAGGAGGACACGTGGACTCCGGGAAAGATTCCAGCCTGATCTCGGTTCACGTTGGCTATGCCCCTTTGACTTTCTGTGGTGAGGGAGATTTCTTTTTCTCCGGGGTAGTTTTTTATTAGATCTCACTTGATTTTCTTTTCTTTTCTTTTTTTTTGGTTTATTATGCAGTGTATTGATTATTCAGGCTCCAGTTAGATCAAAGGTCACCTCCAAATACATGCCGTAGGTCAAGTTCATTCCGCCACAGACCAAGTTCATTTTATATCTTCAGCTATCTGTTCTCTGTGTCTTGTGCTGTTTTTCCAAATCTTTCAGCAGGACTTAGAAATGGAGAGATTCCAGCCTGGAGTGCTGGCTCACAACTGTAATCCCAGCACTTTGGGAGAATGAGGCAGAAGGATCACTTGAGGCTGGGAGGTTGAGGCTGCAGTGAGCTATGATGGTACCACTACACCCCAGCCTGGGTGACAGAGAGAGACCGTGTCCCCATAGAGAAAGAAAAGAAAAAAGAAATGAGGGACCCAGTACAGTGGCTCATGCCTGTAATCATAGCACTTTGGGAGGCTGAGGCGAGTGGATCACCTGAGGTCAGGAGTTCAACACCTGGCCAACATGGTAAAACCCCGTCTCTACTAAAAACACCAAAATTAGCCGGCATGGTGTTGCATGCCTGTAATCCCAGCTACTCGGGAGGCTGAGGCGTGAGAAACGCTTGAGCCTGGGAGGCGAAGGTTGCAGTGGGCCGAGATTGTGCCACTCCACTCCAGCTTGGGCGACAGAGTGAGACTCTGTCTCAAAAAATAAAAGAAAAAAGAAATGGGGGATTCTGTCTCCTGGTGAACACTGAACCTTGAGAGCAAGCCTTTGATAGGGTATATTTGCTGAGGCCGGGTAAAGGAGGCAACGTAACATAACAGAAAGATCGTTCTGGTGCAGGCATTCATAGCTGAATGCCTCTGGATAGATTCCTTAATCTCTCTGAGTTTAAGAGGGAGATAGGAGTTGCTGCCTTGTGGGATTGTTGTAAGGATTCAGTGACATATGTGAGGTACCTGGCACATAACTGGGATTGAATATACAGTAACTGTCATCAAGCTGTAGTTACCTCCAGCAGCTGAGGTTGGCTTCCCTTGGACATTTGGGGCAGGTTCCATTGGGGAAGAACACGTCAGTATCTGTTGGAAATTGATTTTTTGGAAGCTCTTGTTGCAAATAGGCAGGATGGTGCATATTTAACCTCCCCCAAAATTTATGGTTTCAGCAATCATAAACAATTCTTCAGTCAGCCAGAGAAGAACAATCCACAGTTGTTCTTCCTGGTACAGTGAGTAGCTAAGAACATAGGCTCGGAGGTTACACGGATATGGGTGGAAATCCTGGGTCCACAGCTTCCTAGCTGTATGGCTTTGGGCCAATTATTTTACCATTCTGAGCCTCATGTCCTCATCTGTAAAACAGGATGACACTTGGACCTAATGTGAGGCTTGTGGTGAAGATGAAATGAGGGTGCACGGGAACCACTGAGAGCCGTGTGTGGCACGTGGGTGTGTGTGCAGTCAATGCCCGCTCTCTATCATTTATCCCTGCCCCTCAGAGGCCATTTCCACAGATTTGGAAGGCCCGCTGAGCCATTCAACATTTGCTCCCAACAGGGGTGATTAGTTCATGTAATGCTAGCATTAAGCAAAAGACTCTGCCTGAAACGTCCTCTGGCCCAGCTCCGGTGCTGGAGTGACCTAGTTAGCTGTGTGTCCCAGGCTCAGCCCTCCCCCTGGGTAGCTTCTCGGTTTTTTTTTTTTTCTCTGCACCTCTCCCTGCACCCTTAGCTGGTTTTAAAAAAATCTGTCCCTCTCTCCATCAGCCTGGGCAAGAGTGGCTTCTCACTGCATGGAGGTCTGCAGGCAGCCTGTGGCTTTTCTTTGATTCAACATGCTTTTCTTTTTGGAAAATTCCTTGTCTTTCTGCTTTGTTTCTTATTGAAACTCATGTTTTGATTTGATGACTCAAGGAACTTACTTACAGTGTCTAACCATCATGAAGTTTTGTAGTTTAAAACCTATAGGTACTGAATTTATTTTAATGCTAGAGTATTTAAAAATGGCAGCATGCATATGTATATACCCCATAAGCATATGTAACCATTTATTTAAAATACCCTTTTGGGGGATTTTTGCATGGGAGTTGGGAGAAGATCTCAAAAACTTTAAATGTCCCAGGTCACAGGATGTTAGTGTTAACACTTGGGGAGCTAATTTCCAAATCAGCCATGATTTCTCCTCTTGACCTGTCCATTTTAGTCCCTGTGGAAGCCAGACAATGTCCGGGATCTTGATTTACTGGTGCCTCTATCACAGGCTGAGCAGAGGAAGAAAAAGCTCCTCCAGCTGAAAGTAGTCAGTATTTCTAGTTGTTGAGAGGACCTTTCTCTCTCTTTCATGACCACAACACAGATCACTGAAATTGGTTTTACAATAAATTGGATTTGGTGCTGTAAATGGAATCCTAAAGGTATCGTATTAAATAAAACCTCAGACAGTTTCTGATGTTCAAGTGACAGTCTTGCCTGCCTCCCCACACAACCCTGTCCCTTCGTACAAGGCCCAAAGTGTTGTGAAAAAGAAAAACCCTAGACCTTTGTAGCTTTGAAAAATTTGTGGATGGAGAGAAGAGAAGCTGTACCAAGCCAGGAGGTATCGGAGTGACCAGCAGGCCAGCGTCCCCTGCCCCCAAATATCCTCCCATTTATGGGCTAATACTTCCTTAACCTTGAAAGAAGACTGCTTCAAATTTGCCTTAAAACTTGAGAAGATATAAATACCTCAAAATAGGTTGAGAGGCTGCCAGTCATTTACTATGTAAGTGATTTTAAGGAAAGAACTTTTTCTCAATACTTGATTAGCATTTGAATGGCAGGCAGAAGGAGGAAGAAGTAATTTCGTCCCGGGAGGCTCAAATGGGTCGCAAACTGGGGAGTTGAGGGCTGAGTGAGGCAAGGTGGTAATGATGCATTGAGGCTTTGGGGAATAGAACCCGTAAACCAACCTACATCAACTATTGCCAAATTGGGCCCTAAACTGTCCTGGGCTCTGGAAAGGGAGGCTGCTGTGTCGCTGCCTCTCCCATCTTTCTTTCTTTCTCCCGGGCCAGGCCGGGACTGCAGATACTGTCACAGCTCTACCATGGACGCCAGGGCTTCTTTAGGTTGGAATAGTGTCCACGTCACCAGGAAAAATTCCACTTCTGTAAGAAAATATGCCTCAAAACAACAACAACAGCAACAACAAGCTTTCAATGATCTCTTGGAACAGACTTTGCATATAAGTTGGGGACATCCTGTATGTGGCAATAACGTACAAGAATTATGCTCTTTGGATTTTTTGGGTGTGTGTTAGCATGGTCAGTAAAAATGGAGTTTGGGGCCCTAGTCGTGATGGACAAACAATGTTGGCTTTCTTTGGTGCTTTCAGCTTCTTGACAAATGGATATAATAACAAGACTTCCTATTTGACTGTTTTTTTTTTTTTTTTGAGATGGAGTCTTGCTCTGTCACCCAGGCAGGAGTGCAGTGGTGTGATCTTGGCTCACTGCAATCTCTGCCTCCCAGGTTCAAGCTACTCTCGTGCCTCAGCCTCCCGAGTATATGAGATAACAGGCATGCACCACCACACCCAGCTAATTTTTGTACTTTTAGTAGAGACGGGGTTTTACCATGTTGGCCAGGATGGTCTCGATCTCCTGACCTTATGATCTGCCTGCCTTGGCCTCCCAAAGTGCTGGGATTACAGGCATGAGCCACTGTGCCTGGCCCTTTTTTTTTTTTTTTTTTTTTTTTAATTGAGATGGAGTCTCGCTCTGTGGCCCAGGCTGGAGTGCAGTGGCGTAATCTCTGCTCACGGAAACCTCTGCCTCCTGGGTTCAAGTGATTCTCCTGCCTCAGCCTCCCGAGTAGCTGGGATTACAGGCGCCCACCACCACGCCTGGCTAATTTTTGTATTTTTAGTAGAGACGAGGTTTCACCATGTTGGCCAGGCTGGTCTCGATCTCCTGACCTCAAATGACCCACCCGTCTTGGCCTCCCAAAGTGCTCGGATTACAGGTGTGAGCCACCGCTCCTGGCCTATTTGACTGTTTTTTAAAAATTATAGTTAAACGCCTCCTCCAGCCATTGAATATAGCTGGCTGATATTACCTAAGTTTGGGGTTCCGTCTCCTGGCTTTGGAGCCTCCCCTACCCCCCGCCGGTCTGTGTACAGGGAAGCTGCTTCTTTCTTTCTTCCCCCTTCTTTCTTGCCTATTAAACTCTCTGCTCCTTAAAACAAAAGACAAAAAACAAAAAAGTGTGCTTAAAAAATACATAGTATAAAACTTGCCATCGTAACCATTTTGAAGTGTGCAGTTCTGTGGTGTTAAGTACATTACAGCATTGTCCAACCATCGCCACCATCCATCTCCAGAACTCTTTCATCTTCCCACATTGAACCTCCACTCCACCTATGAAACACTAACTCCCTACTCCCTCCTCCCTGACCTTCTGATACACACCGTTCCACCATCTGTCTCAGTGAATTTGGCTACTTTAGGTACCACATAGAAGTAGAATCATGTGATACAGTCATCCCTTGGTATCTGCCGGGGGCTGGTTCCAGAATCAACCTGCCGCGGATAACAAAATTTTAGGATGCTCTAGTGTCTGATATAAAATGGTGTAGTATTTGCATATAAATTTTGCACATCCTCCCATGTACTTTTTGTTTTTTGTTTTTTGTTTTTGTTTGTTTGAGATGGAGTCTCGCCCCGTCCCCCAGGCTGGAGTGCAGTGGCGCCATCTCAGCTCACTGCAAGCTCCGCCTCCCGGGTTCCCGCCATTCTCCTGCCTCAGCCTCCCGAGTAGCTGGGACTACAGGCGCCCGCCATGATGCCTGGCTAATTTTTATTTTTTATTTTTTTTATTTTTAGTAGAGACCCGGTTTCACCGTGTTAGTCAGGATAGTCGCGATCTCCTGACCTCCTGATCTGCCCGCCTCGGCCTCCCAAAGTGCTGGGATTACAGGCGCCTGCCACCACGCTGGGCTGATTTTTTGTATTTTTAGTAGAGACGGGGTTTCACTGTCTTAGCCAGGATGGTCTCAATCTCCTGACCTTGTGATCCACCCGCCTTGGCCTCCCACATTGCTGGGATTACAGGCGTGAGCCACCCCGCCCGGCCTTTTTTTTTTTTTTTGAGATAGGGTCTCACTCTGTCATGGAGGCTAGAGTGCAGTGGTGCGATCTTGGCTCACTGCAGGCTCTTCCTCCCGGGTACAAGCAATTCTCCTGTCTCAGCCTACCAAGTAGCTGTGACTACTGGTGCACGCCAGCACACCCAGCTAATTTTTGTATTTTTAGTGAAGACAGGGTTTCACCATATTGGTCAGGCTGGTCTTGAACTCTTGATCTCACATGATCCGCCCGCCTCGGCCTCCCAAAGTGCTGGGATTACAGGCGTGAACCACCGCACCCGGCCTGTTTTTTTTTTGTTTGTTTTGTTTTGTTTTTGAGACGGATTCTTGCTCTGTTGCCCTGGCTGGAGTGCAGTGGTACAGTCTCGGCCCACTGCTACCTCCTCCTCCCAGGTTCCAGCAATTCTCCTGCCTCAACCTTCCAAGTAGCCGGGATTACAGGTGCCCACCACCATGCCTAGCTAATTTTTGTATTTTTAGTACAGATGGGGTTTCACCACGTTGGCCAGGCTGGTCTCAAACTCCTGACCTCTGGTGATCTGCCCTCTTCGGCCTCCTCTCTCATGTACTTTAAATCATCTCTAGATTACTTGTAATACCCAATACAATGTAAATGTTATGTAAATAGTTGTTACACTGTATTATTTAGAGGATACTGACAAAAAAGGCTATATATGTTCAGTTCAGACACAGTTTTTGTTTCCTAAGGTTTTTTTTTTTTTTTTTTTTTTAAACAGAGTTTTGCTTTGTCACCCAGGCTGGAGTGCAGTGGCACGATCTCCGCTCACTGCAGCCTCCACCTCCCAGGTTCAAGTGATTCCCCTGCCTCAGCCTCCCCAGTAGCTGGGATCACAGGTGTGTGCCACCACACCTGGCTAATTTTTGTTTATTCATTCGTGTGTTAATGGACACAGGTTGCTTCCACCTCTTGGCTGTTGTGAATTGTACTGCTGTGAACATGGGTGTACAATGTCTGAGCCCGTGCCTCCAGTTCTTTTGGGTGTATAGCCAGAAGTGGAATTGCTGGATCAGATGGTCATTCTGTGTTTTATTTTTTCAGGAACCGCCATACTGTTTTCCACAGCTGCTTGGTGTTTTACGGTTTGCAGTGTGGTTTTTGCATCCATGATTCCTTCTGACTCTTAGTGAGTGAGCAGCAATTACTGACCTCATTTAACAGACAAGGACATGAAGGGTCAGAGAAGTTAAATGACTCAGGTGAAGAGGTTGCTAAGAGGCATGTAGAAAGTTAGGAGTCTCTTGACTCCAATGCGCATTCTCTTTTTTTTTTTTTTTTTTTTTTGAGATGGAGTCTCCCTCTGTTGCCCAGGCTGGAGTGCAGTGGCATGATCTCGGCTCACTGCAACCTCCGCCTTCTGGGTTCAAGCAATTCTCCTGCCTCGGCGCCCCTAGTAGCTGGGATTAGAGGCACGCACCACCACACCTGGCTAATTTTTTGTATTTTTAGTAGAGATGGGGTTTCATCATGTTAGCCAGGCTGGTCTTGAACTTCTGACCTCAGGTGATCCGCCCACCTAGGCCTCCCGAAGTACTAGGATTACAGGCCTGAGCCACCACGCATGGCCATCATTCTCATTTGATCAGGCTGCTAACAAGCTAGTTAGTGGAGCTGATGGGATAGAGAAGTACTGACTGATGTTAAAAAAAAAAGCAAAACCTCACGCTCTGTGCATGCATGTGTTATGGTATGGGAAGAGAAGGAGGCCATTGGAGTCAGTTGTGTGCTGATAAACTGGCCTTGGTGGGACGGCAGTTCTGATTTGTAGCTCTTGCTGATTTCTGTGGTGTGAATACTCCCACCTGGTCTGATTTCAAGCTCCCCATGGTTTAACAACCTACTTGCAAAATTCCTGACTTAGACTTTTAGGAGTCGCTGGAAGGTGGCTGTGGCATACCACTGAAGGAAGCAGAGGTCAGGAGTCTGGGTTTGAGTCCCAGCTCTGCCAGTGAAGAACTATGGAATCTTGGTTTTATCCTCTCTGATTCTTTTTTTTTTTTTGAGGTGGAGTCTCACTGTCACCCAGGCTGGAGTTCAGTGGTGCGATCTTGACTCTCTGGAACCTCTGCCTCCCAGGTTCAAGCGATTCTCCTGCCTCAGCCTCCTAAGTAGCTGGGATTATAGGTATACACCACCACGCCAGGCTAATTTTGTATGTTCAATAGAGACAGGGTTTCACCATGTTGGCCGGGCTGGTCTTGAATTCCTGACCTCAAATGATCCACCCACCTTAGCCTCCCAAAGTTCTGGGATTACAGGTGTGAGCCACCAAGCCGGCCTATCCTCTCTGAGTCCTGATGACCTTGTTTGTCAAATGGGGATAATGACACCTGCTTACGTTATGGACTTTTTATAGATCCCAAATGAGATAAGAATGTGTGCTGCTTGGTATATATTATAGTAAAGACCTCACATTAATCCATACAGGAGCAATTATGATGTTGCAAAGGTTATAGCTTTTTTTGTTTTTGTTTTTGTTTTGATACAGTGTCTCGCTCTGTCGCCCAGGCTGGAGTGCAGTGGCGCAATCTCGGCTCACTGCAAGCTCCGCCTCCCAGGTTCACGCCATTCTCCTGCCTCAGCCTCCCGAGTAGCTGGGACTACAGGCGCTTGCCACCATGCCCGGCTAATTTTTTGTATTTTTAGTAGAGACAGGGTTTCACCGTGTTAGCCAGGATGGTCTCGATCTGCTGACCTCGTGATCTGCCTGCCTCGGCCTCCCAAAGTGCTGGGATTACAGGTGTAAGCCACCACGCCCGGCCTAAAGATTATAGCTTTAAAAATGTTTCCTTCTGTGCTGGCTGGGGTGGCTCACGCCTGTAATCCCAGCACTTTGGGAGGCTGAGGTGGACCAATCAGTTGAAGTCAGGAGTTCGAGACCAGTCTGGCCAACATGGTGAAACCCTGCCTCTACTAAAAAATACAAAAAAATTAGCTGGGCGTGGTGGCACATGCCTGTAATCCCAGCTACTCGGGAGGCTGAGGTGGGAGAATCCCTGGAACCTGGGAGCCGGAGGCTGCAGTGAGCAGAGATCGCACCAATGCACTCCAGTCTGGGTGACAGAATGAGACTCCGTCTCAAAAAAACACGTTTCCTTCTCCTCAGTGTCAGTGTCACATTCACCTCTTGAAACATAGCTGTTATCTTTTGGGCAGGCTTCCTGTAGAAGTTGGGTCATATGTTGATCTTGAATCTGAAAGTTACCAACACAAACCCCAAAGTTTCATAGTCTGTTTTCTTTGGCTCTATTTCAGTGTTGTTGTATTGTTTTCATTTTCGGTTTTTAAGTGATGGTACCCTAAGAAGAACTTAAAATTAGAACAGCAACATGCCATCCTTGTAGAGAATTTGAAAAATTTGGAAGAATATAAAGAAGACAGTAAGAATCAGTTGTTGGGCTGGGCTCAGTGGCTCACACCTGTAATCCTAGCACTTTGGCAGGCCAAGGTGGGTGAATCACTTGAGGACAGGAGTTTGAGACGAGCCTGGCCAACATAGTGAAACCCCATGTCTACTAAAAATAAAAAAAAAAATTAGCCAGGCCTGGTAGCGCATGCCTGTAATCCTGGCTACTCGGGAGGCTGAGGCAGGAGAATCGCTTGAACCTAGGAGGTGGGGGTTGCAGTGAGCTGAGATTGCGTGACTGCACTCCAGCCTGGGTGACACAGCGAGACTATGTCTTAAAAAAAAAAAGAAGAGTCAATCATTGGCTGGATGGATCCTGGGCAGTCAGTCATTCTGCGGGGTGGGTGGCAGATCTAGGGAGAGACCCCAGAGATTAGTGGTGGAGCTGGACCTGTGGAGGTGGGGCTGTGGATCTAGACTCACTGGAGGTATTTCAGTATTTTACTAGGTGGTGTGCCTGAGTCACTGTGCATTGGCTGTGGATATAGGGGCGGCTTTATCCCCTATAAGATAGAGTCTTCGTGAGCACAGTGGGTGTCAGACTTGAAGTTTGTCAGTAATTCGTGTAGCTTGGCAGTGATGGTGGTGATGGCCTTGCTTGGCTTATTCTCATGGTCCCCATCTCTATCCTCATGACCACTTCTAAACACATCCCCAGAATCAGCAGCGGGACAGATCCTGTCGCCAAGATGAGACCTGACGCCACAGACTTCCAGAGAGCTAATTATACTTGTGAGAAAAAGGGGATAAAAAATATTCATATCCAAGTGTGGCTGACTCTCCCTGCTTAGAGTAAGACACAGGAAGCCAGCTTCTTAGTTGCTTCATGACATAAAATAAACACTGTTACATGCACAGTCCTGCTTTCTGCTAAGCTGCAGATGCCCTAAACCTTGAAGCCAACCCCTCTTCAGAACACAGTCTTTGGAAATTCTTGAGGTTAGATCAGTGGTCCTCAATCTTTTTGGCACCAGGGATCAGTTTCGTGGAAGACAATTTTTCCATGGACGAGGGGTGGGGGGATGGTTTCAGGATGATTCAAGCATATTACATTTATTGTGTACTTTATTCCTATTATTATTACCTATTATTATATTTATTCCTATTATTTATTTATTCCTATTATTATATTAAAATATAATGAAATAATTCTACAACTCACCGTAATGTAGAATCAGTGCGAGGCCCTGTGCTTGTTTTCCTGCAAGCCACCTGGGGGTGATGGGAGACAGTGAGGGCTCCTCAGGCATTAGATTCTCATAAGGAGCACACAACCTAGATCCCTGGTGCGCACAGTTCACAACAGGGCTTGTGTTCTGATGAGACTCTAATGCCACCGCTGACTGAACGGGAGGTGGAGCTCAGGCAGTACTGCAAGTGATGGGGGCGTCTGTAAATACTGATGAAGCTTTGCTTGGTTGCCGGCTGCTCACCTCCTGTTTTGTTGCCCAGTTCCTAACAGGCCATGGACTGGTACAGGTCCCATGGCCTGGGGGCTGTGGACCCCTGGCTTAGAAGGTGAAGTCTTTGGCCAGGCGCAGTGGCTCACACCTGTAATCCCAGCACTTTGGGAGGCCGAGGCGGGTGGATCACGAGGTCAGGAGATCGAGACCATCCTGGCTAACACAGTGAAACCCTGTCTCTACTAAAAATACAAAAAATTAGCCGGGCGCGGTGGCGGGCGCCTGTAGTCCCAGCTACTCGGGAGGCTGAGGCAGGAGAATGGCGTGAGCCCGGGAGGCGGAGCTTGCAGTGAGCCGAGATTGCGCCACTGCAGTCCGCAGTCCGGCCTGGGCGACAGAGCGAGACTCCGTCTCAAAAAAAAAAAAAAAATAAAATAAAATGTTTATTGTCCGGGCACAGTGGCTCATGCCTGTACTCCCAGCTACTTGGGAGGCTGAAGCAGGAGGTTCACTTGAGGTCAGGAGTTCCAGGCTCCTGGGAGATGGCACAGTTCCAGGCTATAGTGAGCCATGATGGCACTGCTATACTCTAGCCTGGGTCAAACAGCAAGACCCTATTAAAAAAAAAAAAGTTTGTTGGGTAAATGAATGGATAAGTGGAAGGAAAGGAGCATAGGCTTTGATTAGATTCATGAAGTTCAAATCCTAACTGTGTCATTCAGGACCTATGAGGCCTTGGGTGAGTTACATCATCTTTCTGAGTTTCTCTTCTCTCACATTTAAGTGGGGGTAACAGTACCTACCTTTCCAGCTTGTTGTGAGGTTTTGTTGCAATAACAAGAATAATAGTAAGGACTGTAGGCTGAGCACAGTGGTTCACACCTGTAATCCTAGCACTTTGGGAGGCCCAAATCATTCCACTGCACTCCAGCCTGGGTGGCAGAGTAAGACCCTGTCTCAAAAAAAAAAAAAAAGAAAGAGTATAACACATGCTGCGATTACAGGTGCTAAATGAAAGGACGTTGACTTTATTTATTTATTTATTTATTTTGAGATGGAGTCTTGCTCTGTCTCCCAGGCTGGGGTGCAGTGGCGCGATTTCGGCTCACTGCAACCTCTGTCTCCTGAGTTCAAGCGATTCTCCTGCCTCAGGCTCCCGAGTAGCTGGGACTACAGGCATGCACCACCAAGCCTGGCTAATTTTTTGTATTTTATAGAGATGGGTTTTCACTATGTTGACCAGAATGATCTCAATCTCCTGACCTCGTGCTCTGCCCACCTCTGTCTCCCAAAGTGCTGGGATTACAGGTGTGAGCCACCACACCCAGCCAGGATTTTGGACAATTGAGAGACAGATTCCAGCTTTTGTTATTGCAACAAAACCTCACAACAAGCTGGAAAGGTAGGTACTGTTACCCCCACTTAAATATGAGAGACGAGAAACTCAGGAAGATGATGTACCTTGCCAAAGGGCTCATAGGTCCTGAATGACATAGTTAGGATTTGAACTTTAAAACAACAACAACAAAACCATCAGATAGGATGGATTGAGTCTACTCCATGCCAGGCACTAAGAAAGTGTTGGTAAACAAAACGTGGTTCTTGTCCTGAGGGAACTTTTTGGGGAGACAGAAAAACATGTAATTACAGTTCAGTGTGACTGTGTATCGGTAGGAAGGTGCACATATGAAGCTGAAAAGAGGGTCATCTCATCGGGATGGGGGCTCAGGGACAGTGAGCTGGGCTGTTGCCTAAGAAAGTTCCAGAAGTCAGAAATTACATAGCATTGCTCAGTGAGTATATAATGAGTTGCTATGTGTCAAAGAGGACGCCGGCTTCTGTAGGATAAAGGAATATATAGTTTTAATAATATATTTAAATAGCATTATGTTGGCCAGGCGTGGCGGCTCACGCCTGTATTCCCAGCACTTTGAGAGGCCCAGGTGGGTGCGTCGCTTGGGGTCAGGAGGTCAAGACCAGCCTGGCCAACATGGTGAAACCCCGTCTCTACAAATACAAAAATTAGCTGAGTGTGGTGGCGCGTGCCTATAATCCCAGCTACTCGGGAGGCTGAGGCAGGGGAATTGCTTGAACCTGGGAGGCGAAGGTTGCAGTGAGCTGAGATCACGTCATTGCACTCCAGTCTGAGTAACAGAGTGAGACTCTGTCTCAAAAAAAAAAAAGCATTACGTTATTAATATATTAAATATTAAATTATTTTATTATTTATTATTTAATAATAATAGCAAATATTTACTGAGCATTTACCAGGTGTTACATACTGTGGCAAGTACAATATAGTGAGCTGCCACCTGTAACATCGTCAGTGATACATGGACTGCATATACGACAGTGGTGCCCTGGGGCAATGATAATGGAGCGGAAGCATTCCTGTTGCCTCGTTGTCGCTGTCATGATGTTGTGGTGCCATGGATTACTCACATGTTTGTGGCGATGCTGGGGTCAACAGACCTGTTACACTGCCAGTCGCACAGAAGTCCGGCACATACAATTATGTGCAGCACCTAATACTTGATAGTGATAATAAACAATGATGTTACTGGTTTATGTATTTGCTATGCTCTGCTTTTTATTGTTATTTTAGAGTATACTCCTTCTACTTATTAAAAAAAAAGTCAACGGTAGAACAGCCTCAGGCAGGTCCTCCAGGAGGTATCCAGAAAGCGTTGTTATCGTAGGAGATGATGCCAGCTCCATGCGTGATACTGTGCGTGAAGACCTTCCAGTGGGACAAGATGTGGAGGTGGAAGACGGTGATATTGATGATCCCGATCCTGTGTTGAACTACGCTAATGTGTGTGTTTGTGTTCTTTGTTTTCTTTTTTTGAGGCAGAGTCTCTAACCCAGGTTAGACTGCGGTGGCGTGATCTTGGCTCACTGCAACCTTCGCCTCCCCAGGTTCAAGCGATTCTCCTGCCACAGCCTCCTGAGTAGCTGGGACTACAGGCATGCGCCACCACGCCCGGCTAATTTTTGTACTTTAGTAGAGACGGGGTTTCACCGTGCTGGCCAGGCTGGTCTCGAACTCCTGACGTCAGGTGATCCACCCACCTCGGCCTCCCAAAGTGCTGGGATTACAGGGATGAGCCACTGCACCCGGCCTTGTGTTTTAATTTTTAACAAAATTAAAAAGTTAAAAGAATAGGAAAAAGCTTATAGAATAAGGAAATAAAGAAAATTTATTTTTTTGCAGCTATACAGTGTGTGTGTTTTAAGCTGTTATTACAAGAGTCAAAAAATTAAAAAGTTAAGTTACAGTAAGCTAATATTATCATTGATGGAAGAAAAATTAAAACAATAACTTTAGTATAGCCTAAGTGTACAATATGTATAAAGTCTACAGTAGTGTAGAGTAATGCTCTAGGCCTTCTCATTCACTCACCACTCACTCACTCACTCACTCACTCACCCAGGGTGACTTCTAGGCCCGGAAGCTCCATTCATGACTAGTGCCCTATACAGGTTCACCATTTAAAAAATCTTTTTTGAGGCCGGGCACGGTGGCTCACACCTGTAATCCCAGCACTTTGGGAGGCCAAGGTGGGTAGATCACAAGGTCAGGAGATCGAGACCATCCTGGCTAACACGGTGAAATCCCGTCTCTACTAAAAATACAAAAAATTAGTCGGGCTTAGTGGCGGGCGCCTGTAGTCCCAGCTACTCAGGAGGCTGAGGCAGGAGAATGGCGTGAACCCAGTAGGCGGAGGTTGCAGTGAGCCGAGATCGTGCCACTGCACTCCAGCCTGGGTGACAGAGCGAGACTGTCCCGAAAAAAAAAAAAACCAAAAAAAAACAAAAAAAAACTTTTTTGGCTAGGCACAGTGGCTCACGCCTGTAATCCCAGCACTTTGGGAGGCCAAGGCGGGTGGATCATGAGGTCAGGAGTTCAAGACCAGCCTGGCCAAGATGGTGAAACCCTGTATCTACTAAAAATAGAAAAATTAGCTGGGCGTGGTGGTCAAGTGATTCTCCTGCCTCAGCCTCCTGAGTAGCTGGGATTACATGCATGCACCACCAGGCCCGGCTAATTTTTGTATTTTTAGTAGAGATGGGGTTTCACCATGTTAGCCAGACTGGTCTCGAACTCCTGACCTCAGGTGATCTGCCAGCCTTGGCCTCCCAAAGTGTTGGGATTACAGGTGTGAGCCGTGGTGCCCCGGCTTAAAAAATCTTTTACATTGTATTTTCACTGCACCTTTTCCGTATCTTGATATATTTAGATATACAACTACTTACTGTTGTGTTACAGTTGCCTGTTGTATCCAGTGCCATCACATGCTGTACAGGTTGGCAGTCTAGGAGCAGTAGCTGTATCATCTAGCCTAGGTGTGTAGTAGGCCATACCTAGGTTTGTGTAAATGCACACTGTGATGTTTGCACAATGACAAATCTCCTAAAAGATGCATTTCTCAGAACATACCCGAGACTGTTAAGTGATGCATGGCTGTATTTCACGTGAATTTTCATACTAAACCTGCACAGCCATTCAATAAAATAGATACTCTTGTCACCACCATTTTAGAGATGAGGAAACTGAGGCCCAGAGTGGTTGAGTAACTTGGCCAAGGTCACATAGACCTATCTGTCTTGAAGAATTGGGATTTGAACGTCAGTAAAGGTATCTGTCTGGGGCCAAAGCCAGTGCTCCCAGCCATTGGTTTTCCTTGCCCTGGTTGGTCAGTTTTGCCCCTTGAGCTCTTAACAGAGAAAATGTGACAGGGACCCATGTCCCCACCATGTAGAGCAGCAGGTGGTAGGTGATGTTAGCATGGTATGAAGTGTTTCAGGGGTTCATAGGGAATGGGAGTAATTTTTATTTTATTAATTAATCGAGACAGGGTCTCACTCTGTCATTCAGGCTGGATCATGGCTCACTGCAGCCTCGTGATCACGGCTCACTGCAGCCTCGACTTCCTGGATTCAGGTGATCCTCACACCTCAGCCTCCCGAGTAGCTGAGAATACAGGCACATGCCACCAGGCTCAGCTAATTTTTTTGCATTTTTAATAGAGACTGGGTCTCACTGTCTTTCCCAGGCTGGTCTTGAACTCCTGGGCTCAAGCGATTCCCCTGCCTTGGCCTCTCAAAGTGCTGGGATTATAGGCGTGAGCCACTGTGCCTCATGGGAGTAATTTTTAACAGAAGTGATAGATGGAGATGAATCATAAGAGCTGGTAACGGAATTGTTTTTCTGGTAAAGCTTAAATGACCCACTTCCCGGGTGGCCACCAGGTATTCTTTTAACAGACGTTTGCAAAGCGCTTGCTTAGGGCTGGTGCTGTCCCAGCCGGGGCTTCAGTGGCAAATGAGAGACGTGGTCCGCTTCTTCCTGGAAATTGGTACTGTGTCCATGCCTAATTAACTGGGTGTGGTGGTGCGTGCTTGTAGTCCCAGCTACTTTGGAGACTGAGGTGGGAGGATCACCTGAGCCCAGGAAGTTGAGGCTGCAGTGAGCCGTGATCACGCCATGGCACTCCAGCCTGGGTGACAGAGGGAGAGCCTGTCTCAATAAAAAAGAAAAAAGATATTAAAAAAATAAAAACAGTCCAGGTGCTGTGGTGCACGCCTGTAATCCCAGCACTTTGGGAAGCCAACGCGGGTGGGTCACCTGAGGTCGGGAGTTTGAGACCAGCCTGGCCAACATGGTGAAACCCCGTCTCTACTAAAGATGCAAGAATTAGCCAGGCGTAGTGGTGGGTGCCTGTAATCCCAGCTACTCAGGAGGCTGAGGCAGGAGAATCGCTTGAACCTGGGAGGTGGAGGTTGCAGTGAGCCGAGATCGTGCCACTGTACTCCAGCCCGGGTGACAGAGGGAGGCTCCATCTCAAAAAAACAAACAAACAAACAAAAAAACACCCCAAAATCTCCCATTCCCTATGAACATCTAAAACACTTCATAGCATGCTTACATCACCTGCTGTCTGCCGCTCTGCATGGTGGGGACATGGGTTTGCGTCACATTTTCTCTGTTAAGAGCTCAGGGGGCAGTCCAGATGCGGTGGCTCACGCCTGTAATCCCAGCCCTTTGGGAGGCCGAGGCAGGCGGATCACTGGAGGTCAGGAGTTCGAGACCAGGGTGGCCAACATGGTGAAACCCCATCTCTACTAAAAATACAAAAATTAGCTGGGCAAGACAGCGACACTCTTTATCAAAAAAAAAAAAAAAAAAAAAGTCCAGGTGCAGTGACTCATGCCTGTAATCCTAGCACTTTGGGAGGCTGAGGTGGGCAGATCACTTGAGATCAGGAGTGCAGGACCAGCCTGACCAACATGGTGAAACCCCGTCTCTACTAAAAATATAGAAATTAGCCAGGTGTCATGGTGGGCATCTGTAGTCCCAGCTGCTCAGGAGACTGATGCAGGAGAATCAGTTGAACCCAGGAGGCGGAAGTTGCAGTGAGCCAAGATTGCACCACTGCACTCCAGCCTTGTGACAGAGCGAGACTCTGTCTCAAAAAAAAAAAAAAAAAAAAAAGAAAAAAGAAAAAAAGAGCCTAGGTGGCAAAATCGACCAACCAGGGCAAGGAAGCCCCTTTACAGTAATGGTTAGGAGAGCTGGCTTCTAGCCATTCCCTGTGTCCTACCATTCCCCGTGAACTCCTAAAACACGGTACCGTGTCCTACAGATCCCAGAGGCTTACCCCAGTCTCTGTGTCCTTGCTCACGTAGTATCTCCTGCTTCCAGAGCCCACCACTGATTCTTCAGGGCCAACTCAAATCTGATCTCTGCCACCCACTGCTCCCAGATGCTTGCAGCCTACTTTGGGCTTCTCTGTCTTTATTCTTTCATTCTTCAACTCATGCTCTTGAGGGTCAGTTGTCCTATATTTTTCTTTTTTTAGAAATATTTCTGTGGACCGGGCGCATTGGCTCATGCCTGTAATCCCAGCACTTTGGGAGGCTGAGGCGGGTGGGATCACAAGGTCAGGAGTTTGAGACCAGCCTGGCCAACATGGCGAAACCTTGTCTCTACTAAAGATACAAAAAATTAGCCGGGTGTGGTGGTGGGCGCTTGTAATCCCAGCTACTTGGGAGGCTGAGGCAGGAGAATCACTTGAACCTGGGAGGCGGAAGTTGTAGTGGGCCAAGATCACGCCATTGCACTCCAGCCTGGGTGACAGGGTAAGACTCCGTCTCAAAAAAAAAAAAAAAAAAAAAGAAATATTTTTGTGGAGATGGGGGTCTCACTATGTGTTGCCCAGGCTGGTCTTGAACTCCTGGCCTCAAGTGATTCTCCCACCTCGGCCTTCCAAAGTTCTGGGATTATAGGTGTGAGCCACTCACTGCGCCTGAGCTGTTTTGCTTTCGGGAAAATTTTCTCTGATGCAACCGAAATCTTCATGAGAGCAGGGGACACTTTCTTACATGTGATCTCTTACACGTGATTTTCCAAAATACCTTGCACACTGAGTAATGGATGGAGAGTTTATTTGGTTCTGTTTTAAAAATCCCGAGTAATGGAATTGTCTCCACGGTGGTTTAGAGAGCCTGCTTTTCTAAATGTTTTTGTTACTGATAAGTCCTTGAGAACGTTCCCCCACTATTTTCTTCCTCTGGATTTCGTCTCTATAAATCATCCCCGCCTTCCGTGTGAGGATTGCTCACTGCGTAGATTAGCTGCAATGAGTGTTTAATCCATGGGGCTTTGCCCTGCCTCCCCCCTCACCTGTTTACAGGCCCTTTTCCTTGGCTGCCACATTGCTGTGCTTGGGAAAGGGTGAGTTGTCAGGGAAATGTCATTAGGATGCTGCCTTGGTGCTGCTGGTACTCCAAAAAAAGACTCTTGCCCAGTAATGGCCCAAAGCTGAACATAAATGACATTTGGCTTCTTCTGTCCTTCCATTTGTTGGGTATCCCGATTGCCTGTGTCCTAGGGTATCCTGCTGAATGCCATTACTCTATTATTTCCTCGTTGGGGTTTCCTCCTCTCAAACACGGCTTGTTGTAGTCTTGACATGATTTATGGGAAGCAGTGTGTATTTGGCGTTTTTCATTTTTTACCCTTACAGATTGTGCTCTTTTGCAGTTTTAGGACTTTTGGTCCGTATGCCGATTTCTCTAAAACCAGAGCATGCAGCCGGGCACGGTGGCTCACACCTATAATCCTAGCATTTTGGGAGGCTGAGGTGGGCAGATCACTTGAGGCCAGGAGTTCGAGACCAGCCTGGCCAACATAGCGAAACCCTGTCTCTACGAAAAATACAAAAATCAGCCAGGTGTGGTGGTGTGTGCCTGTAGTCCCAGCTACTCGGGAGGCTGAGGCCGGAGGATCACTTGAACCTGGGAGGTAGAGGTTGCAGTCAGCTGACATCATACCACTGCACTCCAGCCTGGGTGACAGAGGGAGACTCTGTCCCAAAAAAAAAAAAAAAAAAAAAAAAAGAATAAAAAGAATAAGATGTCTATGGCGTTTGAATTTCTGCTTGGCATCAGGTACTTCCTTAGACACTCGACGGGGCCTTTACCCCATCACCAACCCTGTGGCTTAAGTACTGTTTGACAGATGAGGAGAACTAACTGGCCTCCGGTCACGTGACTAAAAGAATAAGTCAGAGGGCGGGGATTTGAACCTAGATCTGTGTGAAGAAGCTTCCGGAAGGCTGTGCTGACCGAGATGGAACAGACTTTTCCAGAGCCGGCTTTGAGCCTCCTCTAGGGCAGGTCCTGGGAAACTCCACCACCGGCCAGTGGTCCAGGGAGTGCCGCCAGGGGCACCTTCATGTGTTGGTGTGAAGGGTCTTTGTTAGTTTATTATGGAATCATCAAACCTGTACTCCTGTCATGCTTCTCCTGAGGTCCGGTGGAGGCCTTGCCTGGAGCCTGGAACTGGAAATCATATTAGGCTCTGCAGATGAGAATGCAGGGTCTGGATTCCCCCACCTGCTCACACTCCTGAGAAACCTTTGTGCTGACAGAGGAATGGCCTTAGTAACCATTTTTTTTCTTTTCTTTTCTTTTTTTTTTTTGAGACAGAGTCTTGCTCTGTCGCCCAGGCTGGAGTACAGTGGCGTGATCTCGGCTCACTGCAATCTCCACCCTCTGCCTCCTAGGTTCAAGCGATTCTCCTGCCTCAGCCTCCCCAGTAGCTGGGATTACAGGCACCTGCCACCACGCCCTGCTAATTTTTGTATTTTTAGTAGAGACGGGGTTTCACCATGTTGACCAGGCTGGTCACAAATTCCTGACCTCAAGTGATCCTCCTGCCTCGGCCTCCCAAAGTGCTGGGATTACAGGTGTGAGCCACCGCACCCGGCCTTATTTTTATAGGTCAAGCACACATTTTGTTATTGCATGGCTATTTCTCTCCTGGCAAATGAAGATAATAATTTTTGAAACATCCAGAGAACCCTGAGATTTTGAATCAGGCTGTTGGCAAACAAAACAAAACAAACAAATTAAAAAAAAAATGTTCTTCCCAGTGTTCTGGCAAACAAAATGTAGTATTCTCTGAAACTTTTAAAAAAAGTGTATGATCTTTATAGCTTAGGTATCCATTGGCAAAAGGTCATGGAAAATTAAGTCAGATATCCAGAGATTCAGACAAAGTCAGCTTTATTTTCTCAAATGGCTAAAACATGTTTCTGTCCTTGTCCTCTTATATGAGTGGATGTTGTCCTGGTCACTTAAGCAGGTGAGTGAGCAGAACAGATATTCTTTGACTTGAAGCTCAATGTTCTTCCCTTAAGATTTTTTTGTTTTTGTTGCTGTCCTTGTTCTGCTCGCACTAAAATAATGATTTTTCTTTTCTTGTTACAATGTATTACAAACGTTATTCAGGAGTTTATTAGATCACATTTACTTTGTTTCAGGGCTTCTTAATTTTAAGAAGTCATTATAAATAAGCTGTGTAATAAAGGACCCACCATATAGGAATGCACTTCAAGGGGTTTCTTCATATTTTTAATGATTGGAGAACACCAGGAGATCGCACATGGGAAAATTAAAAATCTCGAACACCCAGTCTCTTAAGACAGATGATCTGGCATGATGTGCACAGTTGCTCATTGCTTCTGTTTAGGATATGTTTGGAAATCTCTGTGGCTCTTGTGATTTATGTGCAAGATGACCTTTTCATGTTGTCACAGGCAATTTCATAGCAATAAGAAGAAGTTTAAACTATATCTTGCATTAGGTTAACATCCAAAGGTATTAGGAGCCAAGCTGTTGAACATTCTAGTTTGAGATTCTGATTTTGCACATGGTTAATTCCAGAGAAAGCACCCCAGGCATGCGGCCCAGCTCACAGGCCACTTCACAGGCTGTGAGGCCTCGTTCCTCTGGAGTCCAGTATGACCTCTGGGGGACTAGACACCAATTATTTCCTGGGCCAGCCTCATGGGCGTTCACCCTGCCTGGCTGCCCAGGGGCCCATGTGCAAAGGGCTCCATACTTCATCTAGTGCACTGCTCTCTCCGTCTAAAGCCCTTACTACTTTTTGTTTTAATAGATATATTTTTTAGATACAGCGTCTCACTCCATTGCCCAGGCTAGGGTGAGGTGGTGCAATCATAGCTCACTGCAGCCTCTAACTCCTGTGCTCAGGTGATCTCCCTCCTCAGCCTCCTGTGTAGCTGGGACCACAGGTGCACACCACCACACTTGGCAAACTTAAATTTTTTTTTTTTTTTGTAGAAATGGGGTCTCGCTCTATTGCCCAGACTAGTCTTGAACTCCTGGCCTTGGCTTCCCAAGGTGTTGGGATTATAGGTACGAACCACTGTGACTGGCCCCTTAGTATTTTTTTTTTTTTTGAACAAGGGTATCCCCATTTTCATTTCACACTGGGTCCCACAAATCAGGTAGCTGATCCCAATCCCTTTCAGTTATAAAACTTTCTTCTCTACTCTTTTTAGCCTAATATCAAAGGCTTTTTAGTGACTAAAATTTTCTTAGGGTTAGTGGTTAAGAAAGTTTATTGAGCACTAGAGTTTACTGGACACTTGCAAGGTTTTTTTCTCATGAGATCTCTATCCAAGTGTGAGCATGCATTTCTTTTTCTTTTTCTTTTCTTTTTTTTTTTTTTTTGAGATAGTCTTGCTCTGTCGCCTGGCTGGAGTGCCGTGGTGCGCTCTCAGCTCACTGCAACCTTCGCCTCCTGGGTTCAAGTGATTCTCCTGTCTCAGCCTCCCAGGTAGCTGGGACTACAGGCACATACCAGCATGCCCGGCTAATTTTTGTATTTTTAGTGGAGACAAGGTTTCACCATATTGGTCAGGCTGGTCTCAAACTCCTGATCTCAGGTGATCTGCCCACCTCGGCCTCCCAAAGTGTTGGGATTACAGGCAAGAGCCACTGCACCTGACCAAGCATGCATTTCTTTTAGTAGAGCAAGAAAATCTTTGAGGTACTATTTTGAAGAAAATTTGAGGGGTTCCTAAAATATGGTGGCCTGCAGGCTTTCTCAGTCAATGGATCTTATAAGTAGACAGTGGTCTCTGGACGAATATAACGCTGTTTTGGCCTGAATCTCAGCATGACTGCTCACCAGGGATCTGTCTGCATGATGCTGAACCTCTACTTATAGTTCATAAAATGGAAATCATAATTGTTTATATTATTTAGGGTCGTGATGAGGTTTTCATGAGATAAATCATCAGAGTTTCTTGTTTGTTTAATGCCTGGTGTTTAAGTGCTCAAAAATGTTAGCTAAAATCCCTTAATTTGGGGCCAGTCTTGGTGGCTAACGCCTGTAATCCCAGCACTTTGGGATGCTGAGGCCAGTGGATCAACTGAGGTCAGGAGTTCCAGACAAGCCTGGCCAACATGGTGAAACCCTGTCTCTACTAAAAATACAAAAATTAGCCGGGCATGGTGGTGCACATCTGTAATCCCAGCTACTCGGGAGGCTGAGGTAGGAGAATTGCTTGAACCCTGGAGGCGGAGGTTGCAGTGAGCCGAGATCGTGCCACTGCACTGCAGTCTGGGCGGCAAAGCGAAACCTTGTCTCAATCAATCAATTAATCAATGAAAGAAAATAAAATAACTTAATTTGAGGCCAGTTTTTACCATTCAGATTCATGGCCAGATACGACTCTACTCCTGGCTAAATATCTTTCAAAAATGTGCCAGAAAGTGGATGGATCAGTATAAATCTTTTGGGAGGACTTTTAAAAAAAAGGGTGTTGTTGGCCGGGCGCGGTGGCTCACGCCTGTAATACCAGCACTTTGGGAGGCCGAGGCGGGCGGATCATGAGGTCAGGAGATCGAGACCATCCTGCCTAACACGGTGAAACCCCGTCTCTACTAAAAATGCAAAAAAATTAGCCGGGCGTGGTGGCGGGTGACTGTAGTCCCTGCTACTCGGGAGGCTGAGGCAAGAGAATGGTGTGAACCTGGGAGGTGGAGCTTGCAGTGAGCCAAGATGGCACCACTGCACTCCAGCCTGGGTGACAGAGCGAGACTCTATCTCAAAAAAAAAGAAGAGGCATCGCTGATTGATTGAACATCAGGTGAAACCCTTTTTCCTTAGTTCTGAATCTAGCAGAGCAATTATTATGATACTGTCTCACCTTCCAATTAAAAGGATCAATGATTATAAATATGAGAGTAAAGGTTTTTAAGGCTACAAGGAATTCGTCACACTTGGAGCCTAGGTTTTGTAATGATTATTGAGTTTGACAACCCAAAGGAGGCCAAACAAATCCTTCCTTTTATGAAGCTGATAACATAATTGCACTTCAGTTTTTCATGTGATTATTGCCCGGAAAAAAGGGAAGGATTTTTCTTATCATGATGCCACCCAAGTCAATATATGTTTAAGACCATTTCTCAGCTGGGCGCAGTGGCTCATGCCTGTAATCCCAGCACTTTGGGAGGCCAAGGCGGGCGGATCACGAGGTCAGAGATCGAGACCATCCTGGCTAACACGGTGAAACCCCATCTCTACTAAAAACACAAAAAATTAGCCAGGCATGGGGTCACGTGCCTGTAGTCCCAGCTACTCATCAGGCTGAGGCAGGAGAATCGCTTGAACCCATGAGGCGGAGATTGCAGTGAGCTGAGATTGCACCACTGCACTTCAGCCTGGGCAACAGAGCAAGACTCTGTCTCAAAAACAAACAAACAAAAAAACAAACCCCACGCATTTCTCAGTTAATTGAAGGCTCACACATTTAGTAATGATATAATTGGCCTAGTCATTTGTCAGGTTGTTTTTGAGTTAAAATGAATGGTTTGAGGTTGAGATGAAATCAATGAAAAGTATATGCCTGTGTGAAGTAGCTTGTACATTTTTATGACTCTTCCATTTTGATTTAGGTGAAAGCCTGCCTTTTCCCTTTATTGGAAATAAAAAAGGAAGTAGGAATGAAAAGAACTGGTCATGTCTTGAAAATAATAGCAAAAGGAGGTCAGCTTTGTACATACATTGAGCAGTGACAGCGGGCCCCGCCCCTTATAAAGTTGTAGAATGAATGCCGTTCCCTTCCTGGGGTGGTCACAGCTTGACTTGGGTGATTGCTTCTGAATCCTGCAAGGAGAAATCTTGGGTAGTGGTTCTTAAAAAATGTCGGAAGGACTAGAAAATCATAATGCTTTCTTTTTTTTTTTTTTTTTGAGACGGATTCTCCTTCTGTCACTCAGGCTGGAGTGCACGATCTTGGTTCACTCCAACCTCTGCCTCCCAGGTTCAAGCAATTCTCCTGCCTCAGCCTCCTGAGTAGCTGGGATTACAGGCGCATGCCACTGCACCTGGCTAATTTTTGTATTTTTAGTAGAGACGGGTTTCACCTTGTTGGCCAGGCTGGTCTGACCTCAGGTGATCCGCCTGCCTTGGCCTCCCAAAGTGCTGGGATTACAGGTTTGAGCCACTGCACCCAGCCAATTCTCAAGTTTTTTAAAGAAGACAGTGCAAGCTGCTGAGAATTGACGATACAGTCTGAGTTCTCTGACGGTTGTGGCGTGGCATACAGAAGCAGTCCGCGTTCATGTTCGGAGTCTGGTCAGTGTTCATTGTCTTGCTAATTGGATGATCCCAGATGTGCCAATTAGCTGGTACCAGGGGCATGTTTAATTGGTAGAAATGATGAGTTCGACTGTGCTGTTGCCTGATGAGTTTTCATAGCAGAGACCTGGCGTTTTAGGTGACTTGGTACTATAAAGCAAGAGTAAAACGTTTTAAAAGAAAAAAAAACTGTTTTGCTATATACTCACGACACTTCTGACACTCATTGTGTGGGTTTTTCCACACCAGTCCATTTTCCTTGGAAACTGTGACTTTGAGTGAAATGACGTAACAAAACCACAATTTTTCATTTTTTTATCAGTGTTGTAATGAAATGATATTGAACAAAATGATGATATTCAAGTATGTCATTTTGCTTAAAGTCAATTTCCAAGAACTGACTGGACATTAAGTGGGGACTTGCTGTACCACCTTTTAGGGAGAACAGTTGAACAACAGTTGTCTGAGCTAATATTTGGAATATATTAATGAAAACCATGTTGTAGAATGTGTGCCCAGCCTCTCACTATATAGTCAGCCCCATGGACACCTTTTATCTGTGTCATATCTTGTAATGATAATGTATGTGAAATCCTTATGGTATGCATCACACTTGTTTATACTAGATGATAAGGTACTTGTGGGTGAGCCTGACGCATGTTTTGGTAACTTACATAGGATCTTTCATATGAAATACTCAGAAATAAAGGTGCTATAGTCTGTTTATTATCATACCCAGACATAAAAATGCTAATACTGTTTAGAAAGATTTTAGCTATAAAAGTTTAAAAACCAGGATGGGCATGGTGGCTCACACCTGTAATCTCAGCACTTTGGCAGGCTGAGGTGGGCGGATCACCTGAGGTCAGGAGTTCCAGACCAGTCTGGGCAGCATGGTAAAATCCCATCTCTACTAAAAATACAAAAATTAGCTGGGCGTGGTGGCGGACCTCTGTAATCTGAGCTACTCGGGAGACTGAGGCAGGAGAATCTTTTGAACTCGGGAGGCGGAGGTTGCAGTGAGCTGAGATCGCGCCACTGCACTCCAGCCTGGGCAACAGAGTGAGACTTCATCTCAAACAAACAAACAAACAAACATGACTTCAAGTAATAATAGCACTTTCTGTGTTCCTTCCTAGCACTTTGATTAAATGTGTCGTTTAATCTGTACAACATCCCTGCAAGTAGCAATTTTTTTTTTTTTTTGTAGTTGGCACATGGAAGAGAAATAACTTGTCTGAGGAAGCACAGCTAGTAATGGACAGATCTGGGATTTGAAGCCAGTTCTTCCAAAGTGCACACATTTCCCCTGCACTTCTCTCTATGTATTCTAGCTAACCAAGCTGTTGCTCTAATATAATTTGTTTAGAGCATCAAACCACATAATCCAGGTTTCCGGGTGTAGTTTTTTTATCTGAAGTATTTGGTACTAAATAATTAAATTAGCTAAGTGTCAAATCCCTCTTTGTTTTAGGATTTATAGATTTAAATAAAATTAGAATAGATCTTTCCAATTTTTTTTTTTGTTGTTGTTACTGTAAAGAGCTTTTTGTGGTGGAACTAACTTTGGTGAGCAACAGAATAAGAACTCAGGGAATGTCGAAGCAGGAAAATTGGTACAGAATTTCAGAACATGCTCAGAATAAAGCCTTTCTTTTCAGCAGTAAATTGAGTGACTTGCAACTCGGGGAAATGTCAAATTGACATGAATGTCCATTGCTTGGACTTTATATTAGCAGGTGTTTATTTCACCACAGACATTGGGTTTTATTAAATACGCCCATTTCAAATCTTCTTGAACTTCAGAATTACTCGAGCTTGTTATTTTCTCTTTCTTACCTAGTACAAGCATAAAGAATATTGAAAATCTGTAAGATAACTAAATATTAAGGAAGTTGTGTATTGGGAAATAAGCATACTTAGGTCCTTTTATGAATGGACATAACAGCAAAATAACCTTTTACACAAATAGTTTTAAAAAGTCTACTCACAGAGCTAAAATCACACTTAATGGAGAAAGAATGAACGCTTTACCTTAACTAGCCTCAGGAGCGACACAAGAGTGTCTGCTCTCACCACCCCCATTCAACTTTGTAGTGGAGGTTCTAGCCAGCGTAGTTAGAAAATGAAATAAAAGGTATCCAGATTGTAAAGGAAGAAGTAAAACGATCTCTATTTGCAGATGAGATGATCCTGTAGAGAGAAAATCCTAAGGAATCACCTAGATAACTATTCCATTTAATAAATGAGTTCATCAAGACTGCAAGATCCAAGATCAGTATACAAAAATGAATTATATGTGTATATGCTAGCAAGGAAAAATAAAAAAAGAAATTAAGAGAACAATCTCGTTTATAATATCATCAATAAGAATAAGATATTTAGGAGTAAATTTGACTGAAGAAGTTCAAGCCTTGCACATTGCAAACTACAAAACATCATTGAAAGAAATTAATGAAGACTTAAATAAATGGAAAGACGTCCTGTGTCTATGGATTGGAAGACTTAATGTTGTGGAGATAGCAAAACTCCCCAAATTAATCTATAGATTAAACACAATACCTTTCAAAATCCCAGCTTGCCCTTTCTGCAGAAACTGAGATGGTGATCCTAAAATTCATATGGAAATGCAGGGAACCCAAAATAGCCAAAACAGTCTTGAAAAAGAAGAGCAAAGTTGGATGACTTTAAAAACTTACTACAGAGCTACAGTAATCAAGACAGTGTGGTCCTGGTGTATAGATCAGTGGACTAGAATTGAGAGTCCAGAAATAAACTCTCACATTTATGGTTTATTTTCTTTTGACTGTCTTATTGGTTAAGATAATTCAGTGATGGGAAGAATAGTCTTTTGAAAAAATAGTGCTGGAGCAACTAGATATTCGTATATGAAAGAGTGAATTTGGACCATTGTCTCACACTGTATGTAAAAATTAACTCAAAATGGATCAGTGACCTAATATAAGAACTAAAACTATAAAACTCTTAGAAGAAAACATAGGTGTAAATTTTTATGCCTTGAAAGCACAAGCAACAGGAATAGATACATTGTATTTCATCAAAAATTGTGCATCAAAGGATACCATCAAGACAGTGAAAAGACACCTCACAGAGTGGGAAATGCGTTTTGAAAATCTGTAAAGGGCTTGAATCTACAATATGTTAAAAACTTTTATAACTCAATAATTGATAACCCAATTAAAAACGGGCCAAGGATATGAATAGGCATTTCTCCAAAGAAGGTACATGAAAAGATGCCCAACATCTTTAGCCATCAGGGAAATGCAAATCAAAACCACAATTAGATGTCACTTCATACCCGCTAGGATGACTGTAATAAAAAGATAGATAATAACAAGTGTTGGTGAAGATGTAGAGAGGCTAGAACATTCCTAGGCTGCTGGTGTGGATGTAAAATGGTGAAGCTGCTTTGGAAAGCAGTTGTTCCTCAAGAGATTCAACATGACATCACTAAATGAGCCAGCCATTCTGTTCCTAGGTATACATCTAAGAGAAATGAAAATATGTGCCCATATGAAAACCTGTATATGAATGTTCATGGCAGTGTTATTGATGTAGCCAAAGAGCAGAAACAACTTAAATGTTTATCAGTGGATGAATGGAAAAAGAAAGTGTACGTATCCATACAATGATGTGATATTTGGCTGTAAAAATGAATTAAGCATTGATATATGCTACTACTCATGGCTGAACCTTGAAAACATTTTGCTAAGTGAAAGAAGCCGGTCACAAGAAACTACATACTGTGTGATTCCATTTATATAAAATATCCAGAGTAGACAAATCTATAGATACAGAAAGTAGATTAGTGGTTGCCTAAGGCTGGGGGTTGGAAGATAGTTGAAGAGTAATGGAAAATGACTGATCAAAGGTACAGTGTTTCTTGGGGAGAAAAGATGAAAATGTTCTAAAATTGATTGTGATGGTCATTACACAGTTCTGTAATTATACTGAGAACCATTGAATTGTACTTTTTTTTTTTTTTTTTTTTTTTTAAGATGGAGATTCACTCTTGTTGCCCAGGCTGGAGTGCAGTGGTGCAGTCTTGGCTCACTGCAACCTCCACCACCTGGGTTCAAGCGATTCTCTTGCCTCAGCCTCTCAAGTAGCTGGGATCACAGGCGTGCGCCACCGCGCCTGGCTATTTTTGTATTTTTAGTAGAAACTGGGTTTCAGCATGTTGGTCACGCTGGTCTTGAACTCCTGACCTCAGGTGATCCACCTGCCTTGGCCTCCCAAAATGCTGGGATTACAGGCGTGAGCCACTGTGTCTGGCCTGAATTGTACATTTTAAATTGGTGAATTTTGGATTGTATCTCAATGAAGCTTTTACAAAAAAAGCAGTCATTCTGTGGAATATTTCCTATGGCAACTGAAAGCTCAAATAGAGCCAAGCGTGATGGCTCCTGTATGTAATTCCAGCACTTTGGTAGGCCAAGGTGGACCGATTGCTTGAGCTCAGAAGTTCAAGACTAGTCTGGGCAACATAGTGAGACCCTGTCTCTACAAGAAATACAAAAATTAGTTGGGTATGGTGGTGTGTGCCTATGGTCCCAGCTACTCTGGAGACCAATAGGAGGATTGCTTGAAGCCCAGAGGTGGAGGTTGCAGTGAGCTGAGATTGTACCACTCCACTGCACTCCAGCCTGGGCCACAAACTGACAAACTCTGTCTCAAAAAAAACAAAACCAAAAACCCTGTCTCAAAAAAAAAAAAAATGAAACTGCTAATTTAATAATGTAAAATAAACTGTGGCACATCAATATTATGGGATACTCTGCAGACTTTAAGTTGCGATGCAGAATGTTATTGAAGGACGTGGGCAGACAATATACTGCTTAATGTAAAAAATAAGTTAACAAATAATATGATCCCAATTTTGTGGAAGAACATTTGTAATTATATTTATAGGGAGAGGGCTGGAAGTGTGTGTGTACATTCACGATATTAACAGCAGTCATCTGAAGGTGATGAAATGACAGATGACTTTAATTTTCTCCTTCTTGCCTTGCTGTGTATCCTAGATTTTCTATAATAATCATGTACTAGTTAGCAGAAAAAGAAGTTTGAAGTAAATTCACATACAATATAATGTTTTGATACTTTAATAAAAAATAATAATAATGTAGAACTACGAAGATAACTTTACTCAGCCGGGCGCAGTAGCTCACGCCTGTAATCCCAGCACTTTGGGAAGCTGAGGCGGGTGGATCACTTGAGGTCAGGTGTTTGAGACCAGCCTGGCCAACATGGTGAAACCCCGTCTCTACTAAAAATACAAAAAAATTAGCCAGGTGTGATGGCGGGCACCTGTAGTCCCAGCTACTCAGGAGGGTGAGGCAGGAGAATTGCTTAAACCCAGGAGGCGGATGTTGCAGTGAGCTGAGATTGCACCACTGCCCTCCAGCCTGGGCGTCCAAGAGAGACTCCATCTCAAAAAAAAAAAAAAAGTTACCGTTACATATTTCATTTTACAATTATTGCTATTCATAGAGTAGTGACAGCCTTCACGCTTTGACACTCACATTATATGTATAATATATAATGGCTAACTTTCATTGAGTTTGAGATATATATATTATATTTTATATATATAATATATATATTATATATTATATATATTATATATTTTTATATATTATATATATTTTATATATTTTATATATTATATATATTTTATATATATATATATATATAGACATTGTAAACTCTTAATGAAAGTTATATTATGTGTATCTCGGTTGCTTTTTTTTTTTGAGACAGGGTCTGGCTCCGTGGCCCAGGCTGGAGTGCAGTGGTGCAATCTCGGCTCACTGCAACTTCCACCCACAAGGCTCAAGTGACCCTCCCACTTCAGCCTCCTGAGTAGCTGGAACCCTGGCTAATTTTTGTATTTTGTTTGGTAGAGATGGGTTCTCGCTATGTTGCTCAGCTTGGTCTCAAACTCCTGTGCTCAAGCGATCCGCCCACCCCAGCCTCCTAAAATGCTAGCATTACAGGCATGCGCTACCGTACCTGGCCTGTGTGTGTATCTTTATGTCATAATAATTGCTCAATAAATGCTAACTATCCTCTATCGGGATGTAAGTTCTGAACTATTTTATTCATTGTGAAAGACTGGGCTCAAAAATTTCCCTTTCGCCCCTGCTGGCGCCCCACCAATGCTTAGTTGCTGTCATGAGTGAGTGAGCAGATGGAGCCCACTGTGGGAGGGAAGAAGCCTCAGCTCTTTTCTCCCCTGGGAACCTCCCTTTCTGTAGGCATCTTGCCAGCCAGGCATCTTTGCTTGTTCTTTGAGTAGGTTGAGGTGACTCTCAGGAGGCTTCTGGGATCGTCTCCAGAAATGCGCTCACCAAAGAAGACCCTGGCTCAGCCTCCCAAGTAGCTGGAAGTACAGGCGTGTGTGTGCCGCCGCACCTGGCTAATTTTTGCGTTTTTAGTAGAGATGGGGTTTTGTCATGTTGGCCAGGCTGATCTCGAACTCCTGACCTCAGGTGATCCGCTGGCCTTGACCTCCCAAAGTGCTGAGATTACACGTGTGAGCCACCGTGCCCGGCCCAAGCCCTTGTTACTGTCGAATTCTCCCCGAATCAACCTTGAAACTTAACCAGTTTTCTTGCTTTCAGCTTTTCCCCCAGACTCCAGCTTCTAGATTCTCTGTCTGTCAATAAGAGTGTCGAGGTTTAGAGCAGAGGCAAAAACTGGTTTACAGCAGAGAAAAAAGCCTTCATCTACGCTGGTGTGCCTTCTTGGCCCAGGAAATGTTTTTGGCAGTCTGAGTGTTTTGTCTTCTCTGTTGGGGGCTGTTAAGAGGCACAAGAAAACATACCTGTCTGCTAATTGCAGAGGTTAAAAGGCAAGAGCAAAAACACATCGCACCTGACATGCGTTTCAAATTAATAAATTGTTAAAAATGCCTACTTGGGAGACTTCTGCGGGGCTCAAAGACAGCTCCGTCATTACCTGGGGCTAGAGGCTCCAGCAGTTTTTCAGATACTGTGTGGCAATGCGAGGTTTGTCTGCTGTGAAGGGAAAACCATCCCACCGCTTAGGAAGTCGTGAGATGCAGCACGAATGTGATTTTGTTACCACGCTCCCCTGGAGGCACGTCGTGCTGTTCTAGAAAGCCTGTCGTTGGAGGAAAACACTTGATGAGCCTGCGGTAAAGGCGTGGCTTGCGATTTCACTTGGGAAGCACATTGTCGTGTCGTCTGTGTGATTTACATCCCGCAGCTGATGGAGACACCACCATACTCCATGGAAGGTCCTTCCTGTCCGATCTGTCCAAGGTCTGGAGGAAGAGGCGAGATGGGTCAACTGTGAGCTTCCATCAGCTTCTGCTTAGAGAGAGGCTAATTATTTGGGTTTCTGGTGATTCCACCAGCTCCAGATTTAAGTGTTCTCTATGCTAGGGTGGCGTGGGGGTGTGTGTGGTCAGTTACTGCTTAAACTCCCTGCAGAGGGGGCTGAGGGGCTTGGGTGGCAGGTGGTTGGCGGTGGCGCGTGCCAGCCCCGGGTCTGTGCCTAGACCAAGGCTCATGTTCTGCCCATTGCTCTTGGGACAGGCTCTTTGGGACATCAAGGATTCTGGGACCATCCCGACACTGCTCTCCTTGGGGTGCGTGGCCAGAGGTGTCTTCAGGCTTCAAGGAGAGGTGCTCAGTGCAGGAGACTCAGCTTCTGCCCAGCACCACAGGGTCGAGGGCTTGGAGCATCCAGGTGGTTTCATCCAGGCCTGAGTGAGAACGTGACCTAGTTACTGTGCCTCTCTGCACGTTGGCAGAATAAACAGACCTTGCTTCCTTCCCTACTCACAGCAAGCAGAATTCTGCTGAGCCTCTCGGAGGCTGGAGGGCCGGTTTTAGTAACGTGCCCTTTCCTGGTTGGCGACCGTCCAGTTATTTTGGGTGAATGTTAATGGCCGTGAGTTTGAAAGTTGTAGTTAGATGAAAACGCCCTCTCTGGACACAGTGTCCTTGTCACCTACTGTCTGAAGGTGCTTCCTTTTTGGGGAATAGGATTGAGAGCAAAATGGTCACAAAATCTGTGGCTTTGGATTGTCATTTGATTTTTTTTTTTTGATGCCTTCTGTCTGCATTTAGGTCAGTGGAAGGGATGAATTCATCATAGGCACTTGTAGTAGAACATCTCCTTGAGCCTCAAAGAGAAGGCTATTTTTCCTGTGGGTCATCTTTGTGCTGTGCATGGGAGGTCCTGCCCCATGGGGCAAGGTGAGTTTAACTTTTGGAGGTGGCTGGTGATCTTGGGGGGAATTTAATTTGAGGACATGTGCATGACCAATAAACTGTTCTGGAGGAATGAATAGTCCTGTGTCTCCCATATTTTTACCTTTTATAAAGCGCTTGTACTGCACGGTGTCCTTATTCTAGGCTGATGCAAAATTTTCATACTGCATTTGCTAGTGATTTGCACCAGTGGCCGAAGAACTATAAAGTAGTTGTCTCTATTTTTTAAAAATTAAAAAAAAAGATGGGGTCTTGCTCCATTGCCTAGACTGGTCTCAAACTCCTGGCCTCAAGTGATCCTCCTGTCTCAGCTTCCTAATTGCTGGGATTATAGGAACGAGCCACTTTGCTCAACCTTAGTTTCTGTTTTATTCAGAATGGAAGGAATTTCTCATATAAGTAGAATTCTAGAGCTAGAAGAGACATTGTATCTCTAGCTCTGTCTCTGTCTTTATCTCTGTCACTATATCTGTCTCTGCGTCTGTCTCTAAACTGTCTTTATCATCAGGCACAGAAAGTTAAGCCCCATTATTCAAGATCCTACAACTAGTTGAGGGTAGAATAGGGTCCATTGTGCCCAGGCAAAACCCAGGTAAGAGTGCAGGGCCAGGGCTAACCATGAGCTCCGGGACTTGTGCAGCCTGCCTGTTTCCAGTCTGTGTGTTCCCCCTTGGGTCATGTCACGTGGGAGCAGAAGCTTCTAGTCGAACGTGTAAAGGACCCAAGAGGAAAGGGGAGCCCAGAAGGGTTGAGGGACTTGCCTGAGATCACACAGCTAGTGAGCGAGTCACCTATCCAAGCCTGGAATACGGGTCCAGCTGTCCCCACGGAGCCATCCTTCTGGCCCACTAGATTCAGAATGAACTCAGGCTCAAGCGTGCGTGAATAAGAGGATGCTGTGCATAGTCCTGACTTTATGAATCAACTTGATGAGATTCTGTGTGGGGTCAACTAATGTGCTCAGAGTCCAGCATTGAGTGAGTAGGAGGTGGGAAGGGGTCCAAGCTCAGTTCTGGCAAAAACTCCAGAGCTCAGTGTTGGGCCAACACTGTCTTCTCTCGTGAATGAGGAAAACCCTTTCTCAGGCCATGATACGTTGGTATCTCAGTCTTTTGGCCATGAAGGGTAGAGGGGAAAGATTGAACTTTTAAGATCTTTGCCTGGATTCTTGTTATTCTCAATACAAAATAAAATACTTTAACTTCAAGCTCGTGTGGGGCCCTGGGAACAAGCTGTAGGTGTGCGCTTTTTTTTCTCTGATTAAATTGGAATCACTATGTAAATTAACTTTCCAGGGGATTGTCTGTGGGAATTCCTAAAGCAGTCTTAGGTCGGTATGACACGTGAAGAAAATACATCAAGCAATCAATCTTAGAAGCTTATCTTCTATTCAGGGTTTCCACAGGAAGGCAGTTTCACCCCAGCTGGGATCACCGGTTGCTTTTCACATTCTTAATTCTTTTGCCAATTTTCCAGATGCCTGTGGAAATTCATGCTGACCGTTTTTTTTAAAAAAAATTCCATTTTAAGTACTGAATATTTTCCTGTCACTACTTAAACTGGCATGAATAAAATATTCCCTTTCGGGAGGATGATTTTCAAATGTTTCTTAAAGAAAAACAAAACACCCTAGTCGGTTAAATTTAGGAGGTCTGTTAAAATGTCCTTACAGTACCAGCAGGTGAATTTGAGAATAAGAATTCTATCTTCCTCACAGTGCCATATACAGTGCACTGTAATGGCAAGCATAAGGAAATTAGGAAGACTAGAACCGAATCATCCAGGACTCAAAATAGAGTTTCTCCCTCAGAACAATCTGGGGTATCTATACTAAATTTATGGGATAGTTACTGTCATTAACAGCTCATATAACTGAAAATGGTGAAATGATTTGAAAATCAGATAAATGGTAATTGCACCACTGCACTCCAGCCTGGATAGCAGAGCGAGACTTGTCTTAAAACACACACACACACACACACACACACACACACACACACACAAACAGTCTGGGTATGGTGGCTCACACCTATAATCCTAGCACTTTGGGAGGCCAAGGTGGTGGATCACCTGTGGTCAGGAGTTCGAGACCAGCCTGACCAACATGGTGAAACTCCGTTTCTACTAAACATACAAAATTAGCCGGGTGCAGTGGTGTGCACCTTTAATCCCAGCTACTCGGGAGGCTGAGGCAGGAGAATCACTGGAACCCAGGAGGTGGAGGCTGCAGTGAGCCGAGATGGTGCCATTGCACTCCAGCCTGGGTGATACAGCAAGACTCTGTCTCAAAAAAACAAAACAAAATCAAAAATCAAAAACAAAAAACATAACAAAACCCCCACAACTCCTCCTTCCCTCTCCCCCCAGCCCCTGACACCTACCATTCTACTTTGTTCCTGAATTTATCTACTCTAAGGACTTCCCATAAGTAGCATCATACAGTACTTAGCCTGTTGAGATTACCTTATTCTACTCAGCATAATTTCCTTATGGTTCATCTACATTATAGCATTTGTCAGAATTTTCTTCCTTTTTATTTATTATCATGTACCATATGTTATTTGGAAATACGTATACACTGTGGAATGACTAAATTGATCTAGTTAATATATGTATTACTTAACATACTTGTTTTGTAGTGAGAATGCTTAAAATCTACTGTCTTAGCAATTTTTGAGAGCATATACATTGTTATTGAGCATAGTCACTATGTTGTACAATAGATCTCTCGAACTTTTTCCTCCCAGCTGAAATTTTGTATCCTTTGACAAAAGTCTCCCCAACCCCCTGACCCCCAGGCCCAGGTAACCACCATATTACATTCTAGTGAAAAAACAACTTCATTAGAAATTTTGATGAGTTTAAACATAGTAAGCCTCAATTTTTCTTCCAAATTTTCCTAGTTTTGAAAGTATACACACACACAACACACACACACATACCCTGATCTGGACCAGGTTCTTAGCTACAACTGACTGCTCATCGACTGTCATGAATGGATCTGAAACATAACTTTTTTTTTTTTTTTCTTTTTTGAGACACAGTTTTGCTCTGTTGCCCAGGCTGGAGTGCAGTGGTGCAATCTCTGCTCACTCCAAGCTCCGCCTCCCGGGTTCACGCCATTCTCCTGCCTCAGCCTCCCAAGTAGCTGGGACTACAGGCGCCCACCACCATGCCTGGCTAATTTTTTGTATTTTAAGTAGAGATGGGGTTTCACCATGTTAGTCAGGATGGTCTCGATCTCCTGACCTTGTGATCCGCACGCCTCGGCCTCCCAAAGTGCTGAGATTACAGGCGTGAGACACTGCGCCTGGCCTTTTCTTCCTTTTTTAAGGAATACATTTTCTTTTAGCTCCTACTGAATGCAACTCATGGTGCTAGGCTCTCTGAGAGAGGCAAAAACATTTCACTCAAGGAACTCATAGTGTTATGGGTGAAAAGAATGGAAAACACGGCAAGCGTTTTAGATGTGTGTTACCACCATCTGTCCTCCTGACCTCAGTGAGATGGGGTCAGACATTTTAATTTTCTCACCCAGGGACATTCAGCGAATTAAGTGGCTGAGTTGAGCTTCAGGCCCAGCTTTGGGAGACACTCCCTGTATCCTGTAAGCAGAGACCAAATCAATGCTGTGTGAGTTTAGAGATGGAGACACCCAGCCCACCTGGGGGAAGACATGATGGACGCGTGAGCATGTGTCCAAACTTGAGGCATGGGGAAGTGTCCTGCTCTGAAGGTGGGGACGGTGGCTGAGCAGACATGCCGGCCAGAACACTACCCTGAAGATGACAGTGTTGACATCAAGGGCGGGAGGTGAAGGAAAATGGCAGCTTACGCTCCACACCTCACACGTGTGTGGGTTTTTCCTTCTCATTAAGCAGTTCTCCAGTTCTTGGACACCTGTGTGTCCTAGAATTCACCTGTGACACTGACTATGTGCAGGTATTGCAGACCCCCCAGGTTGAGGGCAGTTCCACAAGACCGCTCCCGACACCCCCTCCGCTTCAGACGCCAGTCACAAGTCCTAGGTTGCGGCTCGTGCTTTTGGCCGACTGGCCATCCTTTGAGGGTTCACACCATCCCAACACACGTTTGATCGTTTGCGATAATGGCTCACAGAATCTAGGGAGACACTTATGTTTACAGTTGTATTATGACAAATACAACTCAGGAACAGCCAAATAGAAGAGTTGCATGGGGCGAGGTGTAGGGTGGGGTGAGGTAGCAGGGGAGCGTGCCGTCCTCTCCGGGTGCCCCACCTCCCTCATATCCAGGTGTTCACCAACCAGAAACTCCCCAGACCTCTCCAATTAGGGTTTTTATGGAGATTCCATGATTGATGTAAATCACTGGTCATTGGTGACTGACTCAACCTCCAGTGCCTCTCCCCTTTCTGGACTGGCAAATTCCAACCCTCTCTCATCACCTGGTTGGTTCCCCTGGTAACCAGCCCCCCTTTTCCAAGAGTCACCGCATTGGCATAAACTTAGGTATGCTTGAAAGGGGCTTATGATGAATAACAAGAGATGTTCCTTTCACCCCATCACTCCAAATTCCAAGGGCTTTCGGAGGTCTGTGCTAGGAGCCACAGGCAGACACCAAAGATAGATTTCTTACCCTGCCACACCTGGGAGGTGGTAGCGTTGACATCAAGGGTGGGAGGAGATTAGCAAGCTGGGCATGAAGGAACCAGTGGGAAACCAGGTTAGAAAGGGGGGTAAAGGTCAGATCATGATGGGTTTTGAGTTCTAGGCTAAAGTGTTTATAGTGTTAGCTCGTGACACATCCAGGATGTGGAAACATGAGCAGAACTGAGCCTTGGAAAATGACCTCAGAGCCTGTAGCAGGGCTGTGATCTGGACCTGGACCAGTGTGGTGGCAGGCAGGAAAGAGGCTGCGTGCAGGAGGCCTTGGAGGGCAGGGCTGGGACATGGTGCTGGCCCAGGTGAGCTCACCCATCTCAGCATGGTGTGCCTCCAACTTGGGGTGCACTTTGTAGCTGCTTACTGAGGGTAAACAGTTACACTTATTTTATTTTTTTAAAATTTTAATTTTTTTTTTTTTTTTTTTTTGCAGAGACAGGGTCTCACTCTATTGCCCAGGCTGGAGTGCAGTGGTGCGATCATAGCTAACTGCAGCCTCCAACTCCTGGGTTCAAGCAGTCCTCCCACCTCAGTCTCCCAGGTAGCTAGGTGCATACCACTACGCCCAAGTAATTTTTTTTAATTAATTTTTTTTTGTAGAGACCAGGGGGTCCCAAACCCTTGGCCTCAAGTGATCCCCTTGACCTGCAGCCCCCGCCTCCGCAGAGGTTTGGGAATGGGGCTGAAATTCCCAACCCTCTAATCCTGCCTTGGTTTTTGAAGTGCCTAGCTCCCATCCTGAAGCCACCTAGGGAATCTCAGCCACCAGTCACCTCATTAGCCCACAAAAGACATCACTGTGGAGGTTCCAAGGATTGTTGTATGCCAGGAAACTTTAAGACAAAATAAATATTTTTCAGTATCATAAAGGGCCACCAGGATCAGGCTGGAATTCAGGGCTTCTGACACCTAATGTAAGTGAGGAATGTTCTGTTAGCTTCTGGGGAAAACTTACTGTAGAAGGGTTGGTTTTTCGGCCAGGCGAAGTGGGTCACGCCTGTAATCCCAGCATTCTGGGAGGCCGAGGTTGGTGAATTACTTGAGGTCAGGAGTTCGAGACCAGCCTAGCCAACATGGTGAAAAATACAAAAATTAGCCATCTCTATGAAAAATACAAAAATTAGCCGGGCATGGTGGTGCGTGCCGGTAGTTCCAGCTACTTAGGAGGCTGAGGCAGGAGAATTGCATGAACCCAGGAGGCGGAGGTTGCTGTGGGCCGTGATTGCACCACTGCACTCCAGCCTGGGCAACAGAGTGAGACTCCGTCTCAAGAAACAAAAAACAAAAGGGTTGTTAACCTCTGCCTCCTGGGTTCAAGCGATTCTCCTGCCTCAGCCTCCCGAGTAGCTGGGATTACAGGTGCCCGCCACCACACCTGGCTAATTTTTGTATTTTTAGTAGAGACAGGGTTTCATCATGTTGGCCAGGCTGGCCTCCAACTCCTGACCTCAGGTGAATCACCCACCTCGGCCTCCCAAAGTGCTGGGCTTACAGGCGTGAGCCACTGTGCCTGGTCAAAAGAGTTGTTTTTTAAGTGTTCAGTAGCCCCCGGTCCAGGGCTCCTTAACTCGGAGCAGCAGTGAATTTGGAAGGTCAGCCCCTCTCCTGCTGGGCGCTGCTGGTGTCCTGTCTTCTTTACTATTGTGTCCGCATCATTGTCCACTGTTCCTCTTGGGGAGGTAAGAACTTGGGGAACGGTTGCCAAAATCGTCATTTTTCTCGTGACTGCTGTTGGGGTTTTCTCCCTCTCAGGGCTTATGCCCAGGGATAATGGGTTCATTCTGGGCCCTCCAACCAGAGTCTTCATGAGTCTCTGGCTTAACCCCCTTTTTGCCATATGCTGTGGGGGAAAAGTAGCCCTCCACTGGAGAACACTTCTTCCAGGCCCTCTGTGATGTAAGGGCTATGTAGAAGGTATTTGATCTCTTTTCTGTTGCTTTGCTATCTCAACTTTCTGTCTAGGCTTCAGCTGAGCAGATCCTTGAAATTGGCTTAAACAAGCACTTACAATCTTCTTTGAGTTAAGATCAAGTGTGTTGGCAGCTCCTGCAGGCTGTGCCTCTGCCCTTCTCCCCGCAGCAGCTGTTGCTGGTTCAGCTTAGCACTTCCAGCCACGTAGGCTCCCCGTGGCCATGTCCACGTCCACTGGGCAGGCTCCTTGCCTGGTGTGTCAGAGCCCTACCTTCTGCTCTTCCTGAGGTTTGGGTTTTTAACTCAGTCGTAAGGAGCTGAATGAGGGGCCCAGGAAGACGCTGATTTTATGCACCATCTCTGTGTTTGGCCCACAGCTGTGTTTGTGTGATTTTAAAACAATTTATCGCTCATCTCGACTGGGCCCTGTCGGCTGACCCAGCTCCTCCGCAGCCATTGGTAATCTCCATTTTAATTAATCTTTCAAAGAAGCAGATTAAGTTGATTGCTTCCCAAGCTGAGTTTGGTGTCTGTACCTTTCAGCTGCCTTACAGAAGTGATTAAAATAAGGATTTTTCTATGAGCTTTGGTGCCCAGTTAAGATTATTTTTGGATCTCGTCTCAATGGTTTATTTCCATCATGTGCCTGTTTTTAACATAAGAGCTGAAAATGAGCGGGGCTGGTTTTTGTCTCCTGCAGGTGTTCTGTTCTTTCAAGCGCCCTAGGATGGCCATGACCTTTGGTTCCGTCTGCTTTGTGTGTCCTTGACCCTTGGAGCCTTCTAAGGTAGCCCTGCTGAGTCACTAACATGGAGTCACACCTTTTTTCTTCCAGTCCTGGCTTCTCTTCCCCCACACGGCTTTGCAGATAAAACCATTTATTCTTGACCTACCCAAGCGGAGGTCCTGTAGGCCACTCTCCCCAGTCCTAACTCTAGCCCTGAATTGAACAGACTGCATTGAAAATGTTGGTTACCTGTCAGTTTCCTCTTCCGCTGTGCCGTCCTTGAGGGGAGGGCTAGTATTTCAGCCATCCCTGTGACCCTGGGGCCTAGGTGAGTGCCTGGTACACCAGGAAGCGCTCAGTGATGGTCTCTTGAATGAGTGAACCTCCTTGAAGTGCACAGAAAAATTGACTGAAGAGGGTGAGTGTTGCTTAGAGCCAAGGTAGTAGGAAAAATGTTGGCCTAAAGATGTGTTTAGTTTGGCTTGCATGCTGTTGAAAAGTTTTTGAATCAACATACCAGAAAAAATCGCAGGTAAACTGTACATTGAAAATCCAGATTTCCAGCTTCTCTTGAAAAATGTAAAGACCTGGCCTAGGCTGGAACTGAGGGGTGAGCTTCTTTTCGAGGGGCCCAACTCGGCTTTTTATTCACCTGATTTCTAAAATAATTTTGTAAAGCCGTCTACCCCCTCCCACACTTTGAGTTGATAGCCAAAATTTTTCATCGTAACTTGAGAGAGGCAAAGGATGTTATTTCCAGAGTATTGTAAATATTGGCATCTTGAAATAAAACAGTTACATCATTATTTTAAGTGTAACCAGTGGAGCTAAATACCACAGAGATTTGATACCCACTGTCATCCATTTAAAAAGAAGCTCATCTTTAACCACTGGAATTTCTACCTCATTCTTTTTTTTTCTTTAGAGTCATATTCTATTCTCATAGAATTTTATCCTAGGATATTATATTTGTTCTTGCCAAAAATATGTATATACATTTAAATTAAGTTTCCTGTGGCTAGAGGGCCTACATATTTTCAAAGCTTCTTGTATTTATTTCTTTATTTTTAGAGATGGAGTTTCACTCTTGTTGCCCAGGCTGGAGTGCAGTGGTGCGGTCTCAGCTCACTGCAACCGCTGCCTCCGGAGTTCGAGTGATTCTCCTGCCTCAGACTCCTGAGTAGCTGGGATTACAGGTGCCTGCCACTATGCCTGGCTAATTTTTATATTTTTAGAAGAGACGGGGTTTCACCATGTTGGCCAGGCTGGTCTTGAACTCCTGACCTCAGGTGATCCGCCCGCCTCGGCCTCCCAAAGTGCTAGGATTACGGGCATGAGCCACCGTGCCCAGCCCAAAAGTTGTTGTATTTAGTTATTGTGATGATGATTCTACATTTGAACAAAACAAAGATATTATAAATTTTGATAAATAAAAGGAGAATATAGAATTTATTTGGAAATATATCTCCTAATAAAAATCCATAGAGTTTTTGGGGTCTTTTTTTTTTCTTTCAGTTGTTTGATATGGATGAAGATTACTCATTGCTGGGATAAGGAGGTCAGAATTAGTCCTTTTCCTATTTTTGTGTTTTTATAGATGTTAGTACAAAGAAACCAGATGTAACTGAGTAGATGGGATAGGAGTTTTTCATAGCAGTCCCTCAGTGAGTTCTTTGGACTCTTGCCGATTTCTGTGTCACATTATTTATTCTGCCTGCATCACAGTTGCTGCTGTTAGCCTTTTCCTTTCTAGCAGGTCTCTCTTGAGTGGAAGGAGCATGCCCTACTGGGAATGGTATTGAAATATGCATAGAGGTGGGTGAAGGTGGTATGGGAGTGCTCTCAAACCATGGTCTCCTTGAGGCTTACTGGTGTGAGGGAGTGGGAGGTAGTCCCCAAGTATATCCAGGAAGATAAAAGTTGAGGGCCGGCTGGGCGTGGTGGCTCACACCTGTAATCCAGCACTTTGGGAGGCCGAGGCAGTGGATCACCTGAGGTCAGGAGTTTGGACCAGCCTGGCCAACATGGTGAAACCCTGTCTCTACTAAAAATACAAAAATTAGCTGGGTGTGGTGGCAGGCGCCTGTAATCCCAGCTACTTGGGAGGCTGAGGCAGGAGAATCACTTGAACTTGGGAGGTGGAGGTTGCAGTGAGCTGAGATCGCACCACTGCACTCTTGCCTGGGTGACAGAGCAAGACTCCGTCTGAAAAAAAAAAAAGAAGTTGAGGGTCATTGCTGGACTGCAGGGTTCCTAAGGATAGGAGCCACACCATGGCTTAGATCTGTTGGGACACCCCTACTATGACACCTAATGAAGGGGTTTGCACTATATGCCAGTAATGTCATAAGAGTAAAACAAACTATAGTGCTTCCACAGTTTTTGTGGATTCTGTATTTGCAAATTCACCTATTCACTAAAATGTATTTGCATTTTTGTTGGTGATTTTGCTGCTTAAAGTAGCCCCAAGCATAGTTCAGAAGTGTCTAGTGTTCCTAAGTGTGGAAAGGCTGTAAGGTACCTTGCAGAGAAAATTTGTAATGTTAGTTTCTTCAAGCATGAGTTGTGGTGCTGATGGCTGTGAGTTCAATATTAATGAATCAACAATATGTGTTAAATGACATGTCTTTAAACAGAAACACACATAAAGCAAAGTTCTATATTGGTGAGATGATGTGACTAGAGAGGCCTGTAGGAACCTAGTCCTGTTTCTCCCCTAGGAGCAATGGTTCAGTATTGGCTAATACGGCATTCACGGCAACTTCTGAAAACATAACTACTGCAGATGATGTGACGCGATGGGATGTCATTTGCGCCTGGATGTTACGACTTTAGGAATTTAAGAAATAATTTCAGGATAATGTCTAGGTAGGTAGGTTTTTAACTCGGAATTTCAAGGGAGTGGCAAGCATTTAATTTTTACAAGACAGTCTTTGGAAGCAGTCCCCTAACAGAGTGGCAACCATTGGAAAGTCTTCTGAGTGCATCCAAAGGAGGATTTCTAATGATGGGAAGTGCCTTTGCCGTTTAAACTTCACTGTGAGCTCACTTCTTGCTGCGTACCTAAAGTCTGAGCAGTCAAGCGAAGTGCTGAGTAAGGAGAAGAGCATCTCAGTGACTCTTTTATTATTTGACTATAGCTTATATCACCGGAAGATAAAAGACCTCAGAAGAGGAGTGCAGAGTTTGGAAGCTGCCCAAGACTCCCAATTTACATTCAGAACCGTGATTTATTCTCTGATTTCACGTAGCTTAAACTTTTTTCTTAATAGCCGCTAGCTCTACAAATTTTAATCCCTACTAAATAGTATATAAAATGTAATTGTCTTGATGTTGAGAACTTTATCTTCTGAGGGACTGAGTGTATTTTGAGATGTGACCTGATTTCTCTGGAATCCCCACTTGAGGGCTTTATGTTTTCACAGATGGAGACTTACAACTGTACCAGAGTGTGACGTAGGCCTCCAGGAAATGCGTTCTTCTGGTTTAATTCCTCTCATCCTTCAGGACAGACCTCTGGTCTAGCAGTACCTTTCCTGGGCCAGGCACAGTGGCTCGCACCTGTAAACCCAGAACTTTGGGAGGCCGAGGTGGGCAGATTGCTTGAGCCCAGGAGCTCAAGACCAACCTGTGCAATATAGCGAGGCCCCTGTCTCTACAAAACCAGAAAAACAAACAAAAAAGGAATGCCTTTTCTGTCTTTACCTTTCTCCTTTATAGATTGTTTTATAATATATAAATATATGTATTATATATATTATATATATATTTTATATATATAATATATGTATTATATATATTATATATATATTTTATATATATAATATATGTATTATATATATTATATATATATTTTATATATATATAATATATGTATTATATATATTATATATATATTTTATATATATATAATATATGTATTATATATATTATATATATATTTTATATATATATAATATATGTATTATATATATTATGTATATATTTTATATATATATAATATATGTATTATATATATTATGTATATATTTTATATATATATAATATATATAAAGCTCAAATCAGATTCCAGGCCTGATATACCTCCCCAAAGAAATTATAAAACCACCAGTTACTTTTCCTTCCCATGTATGTTGTCTCTCCTAATAGCTACTTAATCAGTCTGAGCCTCTACTTTGTTCTTGGGCCTGTGTTAGGTGCTGGGGGCACAAAAACAGCCAGTGCTGAGCCCTGGGGTCAGGGAGCACATTCCCTAGGGAGAAGGATCTGTACAACAGTGTGGAGGGGCTGGCAGATAGGGAGGCTCCCACAAGGAGCCTCAGAAGGGGGCCGTCAGGGTGCCTCAGTTTGTCTGGGAGACTCAGGGAAGGCTTCACAGAGGAGGTGAGCTGGGCCTGTGGCTTGAGGGATGGGTAGGAGTTTACCAGGTGAGCAAGAGAGAGAGGGCTTCCAAGCTGGTAGACCAGCTTTGGTCCTGAGACACAGAGGATGGATGAATGAGAAGACGGTCTGTTTTGGCATTCAGGCATGTATAGGGGAGTAGTGAGAGAGAAAGCTGAAAAGAGGCTTTGGTTGTCCGGGAATATATATATTCTCAGACTATATATATATATATATATGGACAGAATCTTGCTCTGTCACCCAGGCTGGAGTACAGTGGCGCGATCTCCGCTCATTGCAACCTCCGCCTGCCGGGTTCAAGCTATTCTCATGCCTCAGCCTCCCTAGTAGCTGGAATTACAGGTGGGTGCAACCATGCCCAGCTAATTTTTGTATATATATATATTTTTTTGAGATGGAGTCTCGCTCTGTCGCCTTGTGTTTTTAATAGAGACAGGGTTTTGCCATGTTGGCCAGGCTGGTCTCGAACTCCTGACCTCAAGTGATCTGCGTGCCTCGGCTTCCCAAAGTGCTGGGATTACAGGCACGAGCCACCGCGCCTGACTGCCATTTTTTGAGACAGCATTTCAATCTGTTGCTCAGGCTGGAGTGCAGTGATGTGATCACAGCTCACTTCAGTCTCTACCTCCCAGGCTCAATTGATCCTCCCACCTCAGCCTACTGGGTAGCTGGGACCACAGGCGGGCACCACCATGCCCAGCTAATTTTTGTTTTTTGTAGAGACAGGGTTTTGCCATGTTACTCGGGCTAGTCTCAAACTCCTGCTCTCAAGTGACCCGCCTGCCTCGGCCTCCCAAGTGGGACTTTTTATGCCACACTTAGTCATTTGGTTTTTATCCTGTCAGTGAGGAAATTAAACAGAAACATGATTAGCTTTTTTGTGTGTTTGAAAGACCACTTTGGAGCTGTCGTTAAAAAGTCTTAAGACTGGCGTTAGGGATTCCAGTTAAATTGCTCGTGGAGTCCTGGAACAGGGGAGTCAGGGAGAGGTTAGTGCCCCAAATCAGCAGTGGGGTTGGAGGGGCAGGATAGACAAAAGGATCCCTGAGGCAGTCACTTCATTGGGATCATTTTGGATTTAGGAGCATCAGTTGGAAGTGAAGGGCTAACAGGTCTCCTGCTTGGGTAATTGGTGATTGGTGCCTTCTACTGAGGATATACACAGGACCAGGTTTATGTGGGCAAAAGGTGATGAGTTCCAGATGCGCAGAATTGCGTGGATTGGAGAGACCTCAGCCTGGAGCTCTCCAGGGCTAGAATAAGATACATCATTCTGGCAGAAATACGGCTCCAGGATTATAACCTGCAAGCAGGCTTTTTTTTTTCCTTTTTCCCTTCGGTTTTGCTTTCTTGTTTTGCCTGCATTGTCTACTTAAGCAATTTATGTTGATCTGTTTGTTAGCAGAAAAGGAACAAGCAGCAAATGTGTGGAAGTACTCAGGAAGAAGGCAGAAGCCCTAATGATGCGATCTGAGGACCACGTTGGACACGTGAAGCCAGATGCAGTGAAAAGTTGTGAGCTGGTGTTTGAAAGTGATTTACAACAAGTTGGCATCCGCTTGCCAGCTTGTGTTCACATGGACATCTGCCCTGCAGAACTGCAGAATGGCTTAGAACACCGGTTCTGGTTTCAGGTGGACGTTGTTCACCCCTTCATGGGTGTGGGACCTTGGGTGAGTCCTCGCTCCGTGCCCACCTGTCTTTCTTGGATAAAGGTGATAATCGATCCCACTTTACTTGTGAGGATTCAGTGAGATGATTGATGATGTTTCTTAGCTCAGTTTCCAGAAGAGTGGGCACTCAAAAAATTGTCTCTTGAAGTATTTACATGAACAGCTATTCTATAAAGACTCAAAATTTACTATTGAATGTAAATCTGGGATGCAGAATTGGTTTTTTAGGTGATTTATTTTTCATTTATGAAGGCGTGCACCATAGAATTCCTGCAGAGAATGGGGATAGAAACCTCCCTGTTAATGCATTTAAAAATATTTGATTTGCAAAAAATTCAGTATACTTTAAAATAATTTTATTAATAATAATTTGTATTGTAACAACTATATTGTATAATGCATTGAACTTCTAAGTGTGTTTTTTCCCCCATCAGCATCTCAACTGTTCTTCCATAATAGGCCTTGAAGTAGGGTGGTTGTTTTGGCCCTGATGTTACCATTGCAGACGTGAGACTCATCCATGTCACAGAGCAGGTCCCTGGTTTCCCAGTTCTTGATATCTTGTGGCAGGTGGTAGTACTGGGGCCAATTGAAAACTTTCCTGTTGCTTTTGGAAAAAAAAAAAAGAAAAAAGATAAAAGAGACAAAAATGGGCATGTAGTTTTTTGAGCTTTTCTTTTTCTTTTTTTTTTTGAGACTGAGTTTCGCTCTTGTTGCCCCAGCTGGAGTGCAATGGTGTGATCTCACCTCACCGCAACCTCCGCCTCCCAGGTTCAAGTGATTCTCCTGTCTCAGCCTTCCCAGTAGTTGGGATTACAGGTGTCCGCCACCGCGCCCAGCTAATTTTGTATTTTTAGTAGAGGTAGGGTTTCTCCATATTGGTTGGGCTGGTCTCGAACTCCTGACTTCAGGTGATCCGCCCACCTTGGCCTCCCAGAGTGCTGGGATTACAGGCGTGAGCCCCTGCGCCCGGCCTTATTTGAGCTTTTCTAAAAGCAAGAAATTGAGGAAGAAACTCCTAACTGGGCAAATCCAGACCTTTTCTTAGTATCTTCAGAGAATATACAGTTGTGTCTAATTCTTTTTGGAAATATGGTATGCCTTATAAATAGGTACACCTTAATTAGTTGCAAAGATTTAAACAAGTGTAGGAAAGCTAGGAGAGAAAGCTGTTTGTTACTGTTCATTATGTATTGTACAGGGTGATGCTGAGATTGAGTTATTCTTGGTATGAATAACTTCCTTTGAAAGTTAGAATGATAGAGTTTTAGAACGTAAGGGACCTTAGATTTTAATCCGTAATGACCAAGAAAACTGTGTTTTTAAAAATTTTTTTTTTTTTTGAGATGGAGTCTCACTCTGTCACCCAGACCGGAGTGCAGTGGCATGATCTCAGCTCCCTGCAACCTCTGCCTCGTGGGTGATTCTCGTGCCTCAGTCTCACGAGAAGCTGGGACTGCAAGCATGCGCCACCACACCTGGCTAATTTTTGTATTTTTAGTAGAAATGGGGTTTCTCCATGTTGGTCGGGCTGGTCTTGAACTCCTGACCTCCATCCGCCTGCCTCAGCCTCCCAAAGTGCTGGGATTATAGACATGAGCCACCGCGCCTGGCTGGAAAACTGTATTTTTGAGCATTAAGTAATTTCCTTTAAATTTTTGTTGATAAAGGAGAGACCCAGCTGCCAAAGAGGCTTCTGTTCTGGGGGTAAGACTGGTCACTGCATGTTGAATTGACATCATTCAACCAAATGTGGTTTAGCCTGAGCCATCGTATTGTGGGTAAATGTGTAGTTTCTGTTGTGTCTTTGGAAATTCTAAAAATAGGCACTCCCCATACCTCCTTCTGGGGGTTTCCACAGCTGGCTTCAGCCCAGCCAGCTCATTTTGCAGACCTAAAGCGTTTAAGTTCCATGCCCATGGTCAGAGATGTGGGGACTTTGTAAAGTAATATTTCATCTCTAGTGCAGACATAATGCCCAGGAAACAGTTGCACTCATCAGCGAGCCTCGGAGTCATGTTCTTTATGGGTGACACAGTGATACAGCTGTAATATGCACCATGTTCAGTCCAGAGACAGGCAGTGAACTAACGAGAAAACTCCGCTGTTTGCTTAGACTTTCTGTGTATTGACTCAATGCCCACATTACTAAGCGCCCGTCTTTAAAAATTAGCCACAGTCTAGCACGTATAAACAGATAGGACAATTAACACCTGAAATTGTCTTGTTATATAAGTGAAACCAGTGAAACGTCATTAATCAAGACCCTCATACATTTGGAATGCCAAGTGACAGTCAACAGGGTTAGACCGAAGTTGGCTGGAGCCAGTATCTATGAGACAGGAGTTTGTTGAGCAAACCCGTGATATCAGCATGACATGGTCATATTGTTTAATCTGCTTTACAAGAACAAACACTTAGCTTTAATATTGGCATGCGTTGTTAAACATTTATTACAAGTACTTCTTATCAGGACCAACGAGACTTCTGCTTAGCAATAATTTGCCAGCCCTTTAAAGTTGTTTATGAATTTCAGAGCACTTAAATGGCGTTTTTATGTGAAGGTTTTGAAATCGACGGGAGAAAGGGCAAATGCGAGCATCTGATTTGTTTGTACCAGTGCTGCTTGGAAGAGGACTGGGCTTTGAGGAGACACTCAGCATTTCTTGTCGCGTGTAGGATTGAATGGGTGCATCAATCAAATGGTGCTGGGATTAGCGGTTGGCTTGTTGGGAAGAAAACAGCTCATTGTGTTTCTCAGTGGCAGTTCCATTGGCACCACAGCCAAGATGATCTTTCCTTGCTCAGGTTTGTGCTGTGCACTCCGGACATTCAGCTTCCCTGACTCCTACCCCGTGGAAGTTTGTTTCTGACTTGTTTCCAGATACCCCTGGGGAAACAGCTCCCTCCCTGGTTCAGGACCGTCATGTCGCGCCAAACACCAAAACAAATTCCAGGTATTAGAAAGTTCAGTGTAAAAACCCATAAAACAAGAAGAAAATACTAGTTAATATCTGGCAAAAGCTTTTTATTGTTATTGTTTTTTTAATTAAGCTGTTGGCCAGATGTGGTGGCTCATGCCTGTAATCCCAGCACTTTGGGAGGCTGAAGTGGATCATTTGAGCTCAGGAGTTCGAGACCAGCCTGGGCAACATAGGAAGACCCTGTCTCTACAAAAAACAAAAAACAAACCCTCCACAAAAATTATCAGGGCATGGTGGTGCAAGTCTGTAGTCTCAGCTGCTTGGGAGGCTGAGGCACAAGAATTGGTTGAGCCGGGGAGGCGGAGGTTGCAGTGAGCCAAGATCACGCCACTACACTCCAGCCTGGGTGACAAAATGAGACCCTGTCTCAAAAAAAAAAAAAAAAAAAAAAAAAAAAAATCAAGGTATTGAACTCTGTAAAGTCATGCGTCCAAATCTCCCTGGGCATCCTCCATTGCTGCGTAATAAGTCTGTGCCTCCAGTTGTCCTTATGTGGGCTATTCTAGCTCTTTCCCTTACAGTACAACTTGTTCCCCATTTTCTCTGACCTTTTATAGAGGAGATCGAGGCCACCTAGGGTGACGTCACTGCTTCACATCTTGATACCGCAGACTTGCTTTCTTTCTAGGGAAGGCTCCCTCTGCTGCACTTCCAAGAGTCCTGCTCCTTCAGACCCCACCCCCATGCCAATTTCCATTTTGCCTTCTCCTCTTCCTCTGTCCCTGCTGCCTATCACCCTCCTTATACTGTAAAATGCCCCTCTCATCTCCATCTTCCTGCACAGCCACCCTCCAGCCTCTCTCATGCCCTGCGTTCATGGCCAGACCTCTCCATGACTTCTTTCAGTCCAGGCTTGAGGAACCCAGGGCAGGAGGCCTGGCAGGGCGGGCAGAGCCGCCGTGAGGACTGGACTCAGTTGCCCATGGGATCCTGTCACCCAGCCCCAGCTTAAAACCCAGAAGCTCCCACTGCCAGGGGAAGGGAACTCCAGGAAATCATACCAGCCTTCCTTTTCACATTTCTTTCCTCACCATCCCCTACCTCAAGCTAGAAGTTTCCTTCTCACTGAAGCGTCTCTGGGAACGCCCCCATGGTTGCCTTCTCCCCCATCCCTGTCTGCTCTGCTGAGCCACAGTGTTGTCTTCTCTGACTCTAGGTCCCTTCTCTCCAGCTCCCTCCTCCATTACTTCATGGTAGCCCCTTCTTCTGGAAGCCTCTCTGAGACCCTGAGGGCAGGGAGTAACCAGCTCCTGCAATACAGTCTTCATCCAAGGATGGAGAAAGAGCTGGTTGAGCTGGTTGATTGAATATGAAATCTAGGAGGAGATTTACTTTCCCATTTCCAGCTGTGGTCCAAGTTGACCAGCATCATCCAAATAGGTGATTTGCTTGAGCATTTTACAATGATTCAAGCTCTAGGTACTTCCCCCCCGGGAAACACATATCCTGGGAAAAATGAAAACAAATTCCTCCTCAAGGGTGTGATTGGCTGACTCTTTTTTTTTTTTCTTTTTTTTTTTTTGAGAGAGACTCTCACTCTGTCACCCAGGCTGGAGTGCAGTGGTGCAATCTTGGCTCACTGCAGCCTCCACCTCCTGTGTTCAAGTGATCCTACTGCCTCAGCCTCCTGAGTAGCTGGGATTACAGGTGTGTCCCACCACGCCCAGCTAATTTTTATATTTTTAGTAGAGACGGTGTTTTACCATGTTGGCCAGGCTGGTCTCAAACTCCTCACCTCACGTGATCCACCCACCTTGGCCTCCCAGAGTGCTGGGATTACAGGCATAAGCCACCGCGCCTGGCCTCTTTCATTTTCTTTTTTTTTTGAGATGGAGTCTCGGTCTGTTGCCCAGCCTGGAGTGCAGTGGCATGATCTCGGCTCACTGCAAGCTCCGCCTCCCGGGCTCACGCCATACTCCTGCCTCAACCTCCCGAGTAGTTGGGACTACAGGCGCCCGCTACCTCGCCCGGCTAATTTTTTTGGATTTTTTTAGTAGAGATGGGGTTTTGCCATTTTCACCATGTTAGCCAGGGTGGTCTCGATCTCCTGACCTCGTGATCCACCCGCCTCGGCCTCCCAAAGTGCTGGGATTACAGGCGTGAGCCACCGCACCTGGCCTGACTCTTTCATTTTCAATGTTGTGTTTGAGACACCACAACTATGATTCTGCAAGGCACAGTCATGAAAATATTGGAACCAAAGGTGGGTGCATCTCCAGTCTTTTCCTTGAGAATTGTTTCTTTCCAGTGCACGTTGTGTGGGTGGTGGTGGGGGTGGTTCAGGTTCAGGTGGGTGTGGCCAGCGGAGGTGTGGGAAAATTTGCTGACTCCAGGATTAGCAACGTGCAAGGCCCGCTTTCTCCTCTTGGATGCTGCAAACAGTACGTGGTCTGTGATGTGCCCACGTGTTGGCATTTCCCTGTATGCCTCCTTGTCAGGTGATATAGGCGTCTTTTTCCTCTTTTATGGTTTTCGTTCATTTCTTTCTTTCTTTCTTTTTTTTTTTTTTTTTTGTTCTGAGTCGGAGTCTCTTTCTGTCGCCCAGGCTGGAGTGCAGTGGCGCGATCTCAGCTCACTGCAACCTCCACCTCCCGGATTCAAGCAATTCTCCTGCCTCAGCCTCCCGAGTAGTAGTTGGGACTACAGGCGTGCACCACCATGCCTGGCTAATACTTGTACTTTTAGTAGAGACGGAGTTTCGCCATGTTGGCCAGGCTGGTTTTGAACTCCTGACCTCAAATGATCTGCCTGCCTCAACCTCCCAAAGTGCTGGTATTACAGGCGTGAGCCACTGCACCCGGTTTTTGTCCATTTTTTACCTTCTCCATTCCTTATTTACCTACTTTATCCCCTCGTTCTGTAATCGTGTATTCAGCACCACGTTTGAGCAGGCACCGAGACCCCTCATGGTCCCTATTACGGTGGACTTGGCGCCTACACTCATGATTGGGAGAGGAAGTGGGCTCTGGGCTCTGAAAATGACTACAGATGAATAAGTTACACATTGTGATAACGGCTGTGATAGAGGATAGAGGGGAAGCAGGTGTATGCTGTTCTAGACAGGGTGGTCAGGAAGCCCCCAGTGCTACTTGAAATCTCTCCTTTTTCTTTTTAGTGGCGGGCTCTTGCTACGTGGCCCAGGCTGCTCTTGAACTCCTGGGCTCAAGCCATTCTTCCGCCTTGGCGTCTGGAGTAGCTAGGACTACAAGTTGACACCATCACACCTGGCTGAAAAATTTTCTTAAAAATAGCTTTATTGATGTATAAATTCAGAGATCATACAGTTCACTTCTTTAAAGAGTACCATTCTGTGTTTTTGGTATATTATTCTCCTTAAATTGTGGTAATATATAAAACACCATGTCTGCCATTTTAGCCATTTTTACTTGTAGAGTTCAGTGACATTAAGTACGTCCACAGCATTGTGCAATAATCTCCACTTTCTGTTTTCAAAATTTTTTCATCATCCCAAACAGAAACTCTGTACCCATTAAGCGGTAGCTCCGCAGTACCTCCTGTCTCACCACTGGTAACCTTGAATCTATTTTCTGTCTGTAAATTTGCCTATTCTCGGTACCTCAGAAATGGGATCATGAAATATTTGTTCTTTTGTGCCCGACCTCTTTCACTGGTACCCTGATGTCTTCAGGGCTTCTCTATGTTATAACATGGCTCAGAACTTCATTCCTTTCTATGGTTGAATAATATTCCATTGTATGGATATCACACATTTTGTTTATCTGTATTACTTGAAATCTTGATACATACTTTTTATTTTCTAAGCACTTCCCCATAATTCTCATCCGATTAGTTTGCCTGCCTTATTACTGGCAAATAATTTCTTGATTAATTGAATTTGCTAGCAATTTTGAACAAGATGATGGTGGTTACAAGGCAGAAATGCCATTTCCTGTTCTTTCTGTCTCTTTCTGTGTGTGTGTGTAACTCTGTATTTTCTTGAGTGTGTATCTCTCTGTGTGTCTTCTAAGTGAGGCCATCCAGTTGGTGCACTTGTCTGAAGATAATACAGGTGCAGGGGTGAAACTGCAGGGCCTTAGAACAGTTCGCCCCCTACCTCCTGAAGGTGTTGACAGGAAAAGCTAGCCTCGGCCCTCCATTACTCTCAGAGTCTGCTCAAGACAGACACAACTCTGTCTCCTTGTAATAAATGTGTCTCACAGAGCTAAAGCAATGCACAGAAGAAAGGACTTCTCTGAAGGCCTGCTCAGTTTATCAACAAAATTGATCAATTTTTGTTGTTTGTTTCACAGATCAATGAAGGACACATCCAGTGTGATGAGGCACTGGGGCATATATAGAATGTATTTGACAACAGATATTAGTTCTTTGTTAGCAGGAATGACACACGTTTAGCAGGAATGACACACGTTTAATGTTGTGACCAGAGGCAGAGTCATTCTAGATCTTAGGTGCGACCTGAGCTTTGTGGAGCCTCAGTTCTGTCTTGAAAGATATTCTTCACTCTGCCCTCTTTTATTGATTAATTTTAGGCAATCTCTGCGGGTATTTCCAGTGCTCTTGGCTTTTCTTGACTTTGTACTAATTGCCAAAGGCGGCAGAGGATGAGGACTTGTTGGGGTGGTCGTGTGTACCAGTGATGTTTCTAGAGAGTGCATGGTTAGCCTACACTCTTCCTGTCTTCACAGATCCCACCTCACGTGGAAATAGGTACTCAAAAATCCATTGTGCTTCTGTAATGGATTAAGCTTCGAGCCCACCCCATCGGCTCCCATCACATCAACTCACCAAACATTGGCTCAGGGAGTACCTGGGCCAGCCTGGGTGCCCACTAACCATCCCTGGGACGGGACGACCTCGACTAGCCCGCTATGTCATGTTTTCTTATTCCATGGGCATAAGGCTTGGCAGAATGCGGAGATTCTGAGCTCAGAAGTTTCTGACTTTTCCTTAAAAAAGAACTGAAACATTAGAGCTTTAGGCTGTGCTTCCACCATGCGGATCCACATTGGTTCCCATCTGTGTGGTCCAGCAGAAGCAGCTCCCTGATCACTGTGCAGGTTCCTGTGGCCGAGATGGTCGGCGTTTGGGTCAGGCGGCTCCCAGCACAGGAGTGGGAGCTGGCAGGAGTGCCCTGTGAGTGCCTTAATGAGATGCCACTGCATTCACCCTTCATTTGCCCTGTGCCGATGGAAAAAAAAATGGGTTTTCCAGTAGAAATGTACTGTAAATGATTATTCTAAGTTATAGCAATGGCCTACCTGGCTTCTTTTTTTTTTTTTTGAGATGGAGTTTTGCTCCTGTTGCCTAGGCTGGAGTGCAGTGGCGTGATCTTGGTTCACTGCAACCTTCACCTTCTGGGTTCAAGCGATTCTTCTGCCTCAGCCTCCCGAGTAGCTGGGATTACAGGCACCCACCACCACGCCTGGCTATTTTTTTGTATTTTTAGTAGAGACAGGGTTTCGCCGTGTTGGGCAGGCTGGTCTCCTGACCTCAGGTGATCCGCCCGCCTCAGCCTCCCAAAGTGCTGGGATTACAGGCATGAGCCACTGTGCCCGGACAAGCCTACCTGGCTTCATATGCTCCTCTTGTTGATAGTAGCTACAAAGTCAAGAATCAAAATAATGACTTTGAACAAAGGATAGAACATCCGCTGATGTCTTTACACCAGTCTTGCTTGAGGTTTGAGTCTATCAGCGTGGGCTGGTTTCTCAGGTGACAACTGGCCAGAGAGGCAAAGTAGAATATTGAAGACCAGGGCTCTAGTAACACAGATGTGTTCTTTTCCCACCATTTTACAGCAAATGGGGCTTTTCTTTTATCACAGTCCTCATCTCCTGGTGCCTCCTGCAACCCCACCTGTAGTGTGAGCTGGTGGCGTTGATGACTGTTGATGGGATGAATAGAGGGGAAGCTGTCCCCTGCCTCCGCTTCCCGTAGCCTGGCCCAGTGTGCTGGTTGCCCCTCTTTACAGCGACTAGAAAGAGAAAAGTGGGGCTGGGTGCGGTGGCTCATGCCTGTAATCCCAGCACTTTGGGAGGCTGAGGTGGGCAGATCACCTGAGATCAGGAGTTCGAGACCAGCCTGGCCAACATGGCAAAACCCTGTCTTTACTAAAAATACAAAAAAAAAAAAAAAAAATTAGCCAGGCGTGGCGGCACATGCCTGTAATCCCAGCTACTCGGGAGGCTGAGGCAGGAGAATCACTTGAACCCTGGAGGCGGAGGTTGCAGTGAGCCGAGATCGTGTCACTGCACTCCAGCCTGGGCAACAAGAGTGAGACGCCATCTCAAAAAAAAAAAAAAAAAGTCGAGATCGTGTCACTGCACTCCAGCCTGGGCAACAAGAGTGAGACGCCATCAAAAAAAAAAAAAAAAAAAAGAGTGGAACAGGTGTCCATTAAAAAGGAAACCAGTCTTAAGTTGTAGCAGATGCCTGGGGGGAGGCCGTGGTGAAGTGGGGTGTTTGGTACTGAGTTTTCTAGCCCCTTCCCTCTGCTTCTCTCAGATGAATCACTGGAGCATCTGTGCTTGGCCCTCCCGGGTCTTTCTGTCCCTGGAAAGGGTTCATGAACGCATCCTACTGCGTTTTGCCACTTGTCTTGTGGTGGAACTAAGATTCTGCCCTCACCCACTCTGGGTTTTATTCATATAGGGAGGTTCTGGGAGCCCCAATGTGGGTCCAGGCAGAATGGTGTGTATATTAGGCTGTTCTTGCATTGTTCTAAAGAAATACCTGAGACTGGGTAATTGATCAAGAAAAGAGGCTTAATTGGCTCATGGTTCTGCAGGCTGTACAGGAAGCATGGTCTGTCATCAGCTTGGTTTCTAGAGAAACCTCAGAAGCCTCAGAAGCTTACAGTCATGGTGGAGGGGAAAGGGGGAGCAGGCACGTTACATGGTGAAAGCAGGAGCAAGTGAGAGCGAGGCGGGAAGGGGAGTGCCACACACTTGCAAGAACTCACTGTCAGGAAGACAGCACCAAGCTGTGAGGGATCCGCTCCCATGACCCAGACACCTCCCACCAGGCCCCACCTCCAGCACTGGGGAGTACAATTCATCATAACATTTGGGCAGGGACAAATATCCAAACTTTATCAGTGTGTTAGAGAGAAGTCAGGCCCTGTTCTCTTCTCTGGGGTGTATGTTTTGTGATGATGGCGATGATGACAGTGGTGATGATGATGGTGATAATGGTGATGATGATGAGTATGATGGTGATAATGATGATGATGACATTGGGGATGATGATAGTACTGGTGGTGGTGATGATGATGGTGATGCTAATTATGGAAGGACAGAGAAATGTGGGTTTGAAGGAGAAGTTGCTAATTTGCTGGTGTTTGTGGATATTGAATCTCTGGATTTGGGATAGTTCTGATTTCAAATATTCCATTCCATTGTCATGCCATATATTTCAGACCAAAACTTTGCCATTGTTTGTTTGAAAAAAAAAGTCTGTTAGCCATATTTTCACAGTTTGGAGATGAGGAGCTTGGGCCTACCTGCTGTGAATTTGTCACTGGTATGCAGTAAAATGAGAAAGATAATGCAGTGGGGTTTTTAGAAATCCAAATGTATTAAATGGAAGGGCTTATCCCTTTTTCACCTTAAAATGAGGGTCTTTCCTGTTTTCTAACGATGAGATATCTTTTCTCTCATGAAATGGTGGTGACAGTATGGTAGTTTGGATGTACTGACCTTACTTGAAAAATTAAGATTTAGCAACTCTCATCCAGTTCCCTGATAGTTGGGAAAATTGTACAGCTCTCTGAAATCCAAAAATCTGAAAACCATAATATAATAAATGTGTAGTTTAGTTCTTTAATTTGAAATTTCCTCCCTCTAAAGAGGAGATAGAAGGAATGGAGATGGCGAAATAGGAGGCATGCGTTTATTAGTTTTGCTGAGTCTTGGATGTTTTATAACGTTTTCTGATGACAATTGCAGTAAACTTTCTGTGTTGCAAAAACCTGGTATCTTGTAGTAAAGTGAGTTTACAAAGAAGACAGCATTTGTGTACAGTAGCTATATTAGTTGTGACATGTTTCATCTTTGAAATTATCTTTTTCCTCTGTGGTTTTAGGGAAAAATAGCTGGGGAGAGTGGTTGGCTGGGAGGAACCTGGCTCGAGTTTCTGATCTGCCATGTTATCTGTCGTGTCTGAATTTCTCATAGTCAGTGGGAGATGTACGTTTTGTACAAGCATTTTGCATTTTTCAAACTTTTTACAGTTTTCTCGAGCCTCGCTGTTGGAATAAATTTAACACTAATGCCTACTTGTAGGCACCTTTCTGAAAATGTTCTGATGAGCTTTCATCATTGTTTTGGAATATTTTAGGCAAAGTGTTGAAGAAAATGTAGCAACTATTCCCATTAATTTGAATTTGGATCGTTTCCTTGAGACACGCTGTTTCTTAGTCATAGTGTCCTAGCTTTTTGCCTTGATTAGTTGAATGATTGATTGCCTTAATTCTCCATTTGGCTTGGCCTGTGTAGACATAGTTTTATTTGAGGTTTTTCAGATCTTGCTTGATGGCCAAATTCAGTTCAAATTAAGGAAATAAATTATGGAGAGTGAGTTTCTTTTCTGTTTTCAAAAGGTTCCATTTAACACTCGTTTGGAATTTCTTCGGGAAAAAAAATCTAGTTAACTCTCTTTGATTTTCTTTTATAGATCCGTTATGTTTCCCAGTTTGATTCTGTTACCTTCCCATGTTTATAGATTTTCCTCTTGTTTTCATGTGTCTGATTATTATAGTCAGGGCCACCTTTCTTAGTTCATTAACTTTCCTTTTCTTGAAGATTGCAGCTGCCTTTTTCCAAAGGGTTTCCAGTCTATTAATATCACTTAAAATGCATGTGATATTTCTTTTTAAAAACAAAGTGACTTAGGACATCTGCTAGCCATTTCCTTGAGTATCTTGGAGTATTTGCTGGTGATATATGTATTCTGTATTTATTTATTTATTTTGAGACAGAGTCTCGCCGTTGTTGCCCAGGCTGGAGTGCAGTAGCACGATCTTGGCTCACTGCAACCTCCGCCTCCCAGGTTCAAGCGATTCTCCTGCCTCAGCCTCCCAAGTAGCTGGCATTACAGGCACCCACCACCACGCCTGGCTAATTTTTTTTTTTTTTTTTTTTTTTTAGTAGAGATGAGGTTTCACCATGTTGGCCAGGCTGGTCTCAAACTCCTGACCTCAGGTGATCCACCTGCCTTGGCCTCCCAAAGTGCTGGGATTACAGGCATGAGCCACCGTGCCTGGCCCCCTGTATTTATATTTTCTGAAACTTGTTTCTTCCATGTTACATGTTCATGACTATTTTTCAAGGTCCTACTTCAAGATATTTTGTGTCATTATTCTAAAGTCAGTGCTAAGAAGTCACTTCCCTACGGAAGTGGATTAAAATTACGTTTTTTTTTTTTTGTCTTCTTTTAAAAAAAGATAGACATGGTTGATAATGAGATGGCTTTTTTTTTTCTTTTTTTCTGAGACAAGGTCTCGCTCTGTTGTCCAGGCTAGAGTGCGGTGGCACAATCACAGCCCATTGGAGCCTCGACCTCCTGGGCTCAAGTGATCCTTCAGCCTCAGTTTGAGCAGTTTGGCATATGTTCTGAATCTGAGGTTGATTATTATTCCTTTAGCGCTAGTATTACACTGAGACCTGGAAAAAAAGAAAAAAGAAAGCGAAAAACCATTCGCATTAGACTGTGGGCAGAAATATTTCTAACTATATGATTGTGGGTTAGTCTTGTGCTACGACGTGCAGTATTTCAGAATAAAAGGTGGTATATAGAATTCACTTTTTGGATATTATTCTTGTTTTTTTTTTAGCATCTACATTTTTTTTAGGAGATACAGAATAATCTCTTTAAAAAAACAGCGTTAACTATATTAATGGAGAAGTCGCTGGAAATGTCACTTCAGGTGGAAACATTTAGTGTGGATTTAACTTTTTATGGAATTATGCATGCAATGCCATTTGCATTTGCTGAGATTTTGTATTATTAATAGAATAGACAGATCAGCATTTTGTCGGTGTATGTAAAACTTTGCTTGTTTTTCCTGTCTTGATTGCTTGCTGGTTGCACATAAAATTTAGAGTTGGAAAAAGAGTGTAGCACAGAACAGGGGTTGGATGACTCAAGGGTCTCCGCTCCTGTCTCTGCTCTGCTGCAGCTCCGGCTGGAGGCCTTCATTTATAAACTGTCGGATGGGGCCAGGCCAAGAGTCCGTGCAGAAAAATCCCACAGTTGTGCCCTGGGGAAGCTGCTCATGGTGAAGGGCTTCATTTGCAGAGTGGAATTGCTGTAAGGCCGGGGTCTTGCTGAGCACCGGAGGGAGGGCTCTGACTAGCACTGGGCGGTGGAGAGAAGCAGAACTCACTTGCCATACTCTGTGTCAGTTTCCAGCAAGAGTGAAGTTCTGTTTTTCCGGTGGGTTCTGCCCTTTCCTTATCAGTTCAGCTGAGCTTACTCCAGGGCTTCCCCTTTGCTCCCAGCTTTCCAGGGCATGTTCTGCCAAAAATGAGCTTTGCCTTGGGTGTGTCTGATTGTGTTGTTGGTAGACTCCCTAAAAACCTTCCGGTGCTAGCGATGCTGTAGACGGCTGAGACCCATGGAGGTGGTTGTTAATTGTCACTGGGGGCCCGGGGTCACACTGCTTGGGCCTGCATCCCAGTTTAATGGTGGGACTTTGGACAAGGTTCCTCAAGCCCCCGAAGCCTCTCTGTCCTCATCTGTAAAATGGGGACAGTGGCAGTACTTGTCTCTCATAGAACATCCATGGGAGGAACTTACCTCAGTGCCTGGCATATAGCAAGTTTTCAAAAAATATTAGCTGTTAATATTATTTTTATTACCTAGACGCAGGATGATGGACCCTATGACCTTCTGAGTCTTCTTCCATCTGTGTGTGTATGTAAGACAGAAAAAGAGACTGAGAGAGAGAGAGAGAGACAAAGAACAGGAGAACTACACTGTGGATTTGGGTGATGCTCCAGGGAGGTTTGAACAGACTGTCAATGTCATGTTTTGAAGAGAGCAAGGAATTTTGGGGATACTGCTGTGCCAGAGAAAACAGGTTCGAGAGAAAGAAAACAGAGGCGGGATCCCTTACAGAGCAAGAGGTAACCAGGAGTTGTTTAGGTGGCATCCAGCCAGGGGAATTGCTCAGGGTTCTGCAGAGGGCAGCCTCTGGGGCTCCGGCTGGGGTGGGGAGATGGCTTGGCCCTGGGCTGTTGGCCTGGGAACTGGGGTTCAGCCACAGTTGAGTTCCAAGCCTCCTAGTGTTTCCTCTACCTCCTGGCTCCTTCAGAAATGAGGGCTGGGGGAGGCCCGAGGCTGGCCATCTGGGGAGCTGTGTAAGCAAGGAACACGGAGGTCCTGCGATGGAGTGGCTACACTCTTATGTGGAAGGCCAATGGGTAGTGGGCATCTCTATGCTCTTTATAACAGTAATAATTATTTTTTGCCTTTTTTTTTTTTGAGATGGAGCCTCACTCTGTCACCCAGGCTGGAGTGCAGTGGCATGATCTTGGCTCACTGCAACCTCCGCCTCCTGGGTTCAGGTGATTCTCCTGCCTCAGCCTCCCGAATAGCTGGGATTACAGGCGCCTGCCACCACACCCGGCTAATTTTTGTATTTTTAGTAGAGACGAGGTTTCACTATGTTGGCCAGGCTGGTCTCGAACTCCTGACCTCAAGGCCTCAAGAGGCCCGCCTTGGCCTCCCAAAGTGCTCACAAGAGTGAGCCACCACGCCTGGCCTCGATGCTCTTTAAAAGAAGCCCTCGCCCTGCCAGATGATGCAGTAAGCAAGAATGAATATGGATCCCCAGGGTGTGGGAGGAGAATGAATTACTTGGTAGGCCTCAGTCCAGCAGGTCAGATGAGGCAGAGAACATGCCATCAAAACATATGATTGCAACGCGGCCATGCCTTGTGAAAGAAGAAAGCTTGGCCAGCTGTTGACTGATTAGAGATGGAGATGGGCTGGGCATCTGGCTCATGCATGTAATCCCAGCACTTTGGGAGGCTGAGATGGGAGGGTCACTTGAGGCCAGGAGTTCAAGAGCAGTCTGGGCAACATAGCCACATCCTCATTTCTACAAAAAATTTTAAAGAATTAGCTGGGCACCGTGGCATATGCCTGTAGTCCTAGCTACTGGGGAGGCTGAGGTGGGAGGATTGCTTGAACCTAGGAGTTTGAGGCTGCAGTGAGCTAGGATCATGCACTGCATTCCAGCTTGGGTGACAGAGCAAGACTCTCTCTTATTTTAAAAAAAGTTATGTATTGCACTCCAACTAGCAATGTGTGAGCATGACCTTCTTATCACATCCTTGCCAGTGATCAGCATTAAATTTTTTTTCTGATTTGCTAGTCCAAAATGAAACCTTTTAAAAAGTATTAAAACGAATGAAGGTATTACTAGAAAAGACTTGATCAGTCAGTTGAGCAAAGGTTCCAATTGCTGGGTGTGTCTGGGAGTTGCAGACCCCCACGTGGTGGGAGATGGGGAGTGACCGTCCACCCCTGCCGAGGGATGTCCTGCAGAGTGGCCATAGATGGAAGGCCTCAGCCGAGAGTGGCCATAGGTGGAAGGCCTCAGTCGCGGGCGTGGTGTGTCCGAAGCCGTTGCTCACAGAACACTTAAGAGCAGCTGCCTGTTTCAACATTGGTGCTTGACTTTCCCTATTGAATGAACTTCCCTGTCTCTTTTGGACCTCACATTCGGAAAGGTGTCTGAGAGGTCATCCGTTTCAAACTTCATCATCTCAAATGAATGGCATTCCCTCCTGCCTTTTAAAACCCCAGGGACGGGAGATTTTATAAGCTATAATGACTTTACCATATATTTTCCTCAAAACTCAACAGCCATGATCTCATGAATACTCACCCCTACTTTCTGCCCCTATGAAAAAAAAAATAAATAAAAGGCAAGAGTGAGAAAACCAAACTCAAGGAGGTGAGGTTGGGAGCCTGGGGCCACGGAACTCAAAGTTCCCAGAATAGAACTGGGTTATCCCGACACCTGTGAACACTGCGCAGTAACATTTTCCAATGTTGGGTAGCAACATTTTCCAAGTTACTATGAAAAATGGGGAAATACACGCGATAACCAGAGCCAAGTCCTGTTTCCTGACTTTTCCACAGCCTTTCTTGACAACATGCAGGGCACATATTAGACATGAGTCACCGCTGTGGTTTTCTTAGTGCATAAAATTGCACACCTCACTCCCCACCGGGCCTCAGTGGATTCTGAATGAAGCCAGAAAGTGATTCAGTCTTAGATCAGAAGAGAAAATGCACACACACACACACACACACACACACACGCAAAAATAGAGTTCTTGTTAACTTCTAGGTTGCAGAAAATACTGAGATTAGAAAAACTGTTTTTTCAGCTTCTTAGGACTTTGTATATGTTGGGTTTTCTCGTTAGGTTTTCTTTTGTAAATAAGTGGTTACCACAGTAGCTTTTCCACCAGAAACATGACTCTGGGTGGATCCTGTTGTCATAGTGATTTAATAAACTAAGTTGAGTTTTTTAGAATTTTTAGTAAGCAGTGAATAATTAGATAGAATACTTTTTTCAGCCTTAGTGAAAAATGACATCTATGTAACTTTTTTTTTTTTTTCTCTTGAGACAGAGTCTTGCTCTGTCGCCCAGGCTGAAGCACAGTGTCGAGCTCTCGGCTCACTGCAAGCTCCGCCTCCCGGGTTCACGCCATTCTCCTGCCTCAGCCTCCCGAGTAGCTGGGACTACAGGTGCCTGTCACCACGCCCAGCTAATTTTTATATTTTTAGTAGAGACAGGGTTTCATCTTGTTGACCAGGTTGGTCTTGAACTCCTGACCTTGTGATCTGTCCGTCTCGGCCTCCCAAAGTGCTGGGATTAGAGGCGTGAGCCACCACGCCTGGCCCATGTCTATGTAACTTTAAAAAATACGGTATTTTAGTGATAGAGCTGGTGGCAGCTGATGTAGTAGTAGTAGTCCTTTTCATATTACCCTTGATGGTCCACTTCAAATGAATGAACTTTAATGATTTTACTTTAATAGTTCTTACTACTTTATGAATTATTTTGTTTTGTTTTCATAACTCCAACAAGGCATTATTGGCAGTGGATTTTATGGCTTAGTAAGATCTTGAGGTAACTGAGGTTTACTAATTAACCCTTATTGATTTGTTTGGGACTTTTTGGTGGACACCTTAGTCAAATATACTCTTTTTTTTTTAATTGTCTAGAAAAATGGAATGTGCCCCCAAACTACTTAGGGATTCTGCATATTTCTAACAGCCTCTGTCTTGCTAAGAGCTGTTGGATAATCCAGGAAGGTTTCAGGGGTTTCAGGAGAAAACGAAGTATATTACATCAGGGCCATGAAGACCAGTGCCAAGTTACTAACCTGCCTGAGAATGACTCCACTTCTCTCCTATAAAATGAAATGTTCGATGTGTTTTCTTGCATTTTTAGAGGGCTGTCATCTTTCCCCTGGGCTCACGTTGGTATCTGGGACAACTGAGGGCTCCAGTACTCAGACAAGGGGGAGGTTGGCTGCTGCAGGTGGAGCTCCTGCCACGTCTGTTCTGTGAGCTCGCCTCTTCCTTTTATCTGGGAGAGAGACAGGTGTATTGCTTTCCCTCATGCCAGAGAAGTCCTTCTTGCTGGTTTGAACAGCACCACTCAGAGTCTTGCAGGCTGTATCATATAATCTCCAGCCTTCTACACTTTAGGAGACGGGACAGGCTGAATGGCGTGGTGTTGAGGTGAAGGCAAGCCCAGAATCCATCAAGAAATCTAAGACTAGGCGGGTGTAAGCTTCAGGTACCTGGGCCTGGTCTCCTTCCCATGTTCACATCCTAGGATAGGAATCCCTTTCTCTCAAGCTCAGATCAGCCTGTGTTTTGCTCTGAGAGCTTTACTGTGCAGAGAAAAATCCTATGAATAAAGCATCTAGTTTCTACGGTTAATACCGGCGGTCACAGTGTGTGTGGGCAGGACAAGCCCAGTGTGCTTTGCCCGATGATGTCCCGGAGCTTCAAACCCAGATGTTCCCTAGCCGCAGTATAGCTGAGTCCAGCCAGAATGATCAAACCATAGCTGCTGTTTCAGTGTGGCTCTTGCCGTATTCCACTGTCTCCCTTGGTCATGCTGGGCCATTTATCCAGGATTCTTTTTTTTTTTTTTTTTTTTTTTTTTTTTTTTGAGACAAGGTCTTGCTCTGTTGCCCAGGCTGGAGTGCAGTGGTGCAATCTGGACTCACTACGACCTCTGCCTCCTGGGTTCAAGCGATTCTTCTGCCTCAGCCTCCCAAGTAGCTGGGTCTACAGGTGTGCATCACCATGCCTGGCTAATTTTTATATTTTTAGTAGAGGTGGGGTTTTGCAAGGTTGGCCAGGCTGGTTACCCAGGACTCTTTTTGATAGTTCCTGATCATGCCTTTGTGGTTTTTTTTCTATTCGCTTGGGGGCAGGTATTTGGGACTCTTATTTTTTTGAGACAGAGTCTTGCTCTGTCACCCAGGCTGGAGTGCAATGGCTTGATCTTGGCTCACTGCAGCCTTCGCCTCCTGGGTTCAGGCGATTATCCCGCCTCAGCCTCCCGAGTAGCTGGGATTACAGGTGCCCACCACCATGCCTGGCTAATTTTTAGTAGAGATGGGGTTTCACCATGTTCGTCAGGCTGGTCTTGAACTCCCGATCTCAGGTGATCCGCCCGCCTTGGCCTTCCAAAGTGCTGGGATTACAGGTGTGAGCCACTGTGCCCAGTCTTGGGACACTTTTTGATAGCTCCTGATCATGCCCTTGTGGTTTTTATTCTATTCCCTTGGGGGCAGGTATTCAGGAGTGATTTTTTCATTGCTATTTGGTGGTTATACGGTGTGAAAATCCTCCTTGATTCAACTGCTAGCAGGTGTTGAGGGGCAAACAAGTCTGGTGGTGACGACTATAGTCCGGATTTTAGTCGTGTGTAACAGGAGGAACAAAGAAGGGAGTCTTGCCTTTCTCCGGTTATTCTTGATTTTCAGCGTGTGTTGGTAATGGGATAATTACACAGTGATCAGAAATGAACTCACTAGCTCTGATTGCAGGCGGCCCATGCCTGGGGCATTGCCACCTGAGAACAGGTCTTACGAGGGGATGCGATGCCTGGATACGAATGACTGCTGGATTCCAAGCTGCAGCATGCCCCCTGAACACCTGGCCAAATGCAAGAGGCCTAGAGCTCTCCCCTCCAAAAAAGAGCTTGTAGAGAAATGGAAAGCAGGATTTGGGCTTATGGAAGTGTTTGAGAGTCTGAGCTCTCTTTGGGAAATATGTGGGTTAATATAATTTTTTTTTTTTTCTTTTTTGAGACAGAGTCTCAGTCTGTCGCCCAGGCTGGAGTGCAGTGGCATAATCTCGGCTCACTGCAACCTCTGCCTCCTGGGTTCAAGTGATTCTCTTGCCTCAGCCTCCTGAGTAGCTGGGATTACAGGCGCCTGCCACCATGCCTGGCTCATTTTTGTATTTTTAGTAGAGACGGGGTTCCTCCATGTTGATCAGGCTGGTTTCGAACTCCTGACCTCAAGTGATTTGCCTGCCTTGGCCTCCCAAAGTGCTGGAGTTACAGGCGTGAGCCACCGAGCCCGGCTATTGTAATGGGTTTTGCTTGTAATAATTTATACACTATGACTTGTTTCTTTTGGGGAGGGTTTGCTTTTGTACATGAAACTTGGGCTTGTATCTAGAAAGCACGCGATGTTTTTATGATGCAGAATAAAGGAGGGAAGAAGGGATGTTGATGCCGCTTCTGTGTTCTTCTAGGACTTGGGCAATTTCCTTTTGTACTATCCATCTCATCTAATATTATACGGGTGACCACTTAGCTGTATCATAAAGAAAGGCCCCTTCGGCCAGGTGCAGTGGCTCACGCCTGTAACTCCAGCACTTTGAGAGGTCAAGGTGGGAGGATCGTTTAAGACCAGGAGTTCGAGGACAGCCTGGGCAACAAAGTGAGACCCCATCTCTACAAAAAAGTAGAAAACATTTACTGGGCATGGTGGCTTGTGCTGTGGTCCTTGTTGCCTAGGAGGCTGAGGTGGAAGGATCACTTGAGCCCAGGAGGTTGAAGCTGCAGTGAGCTATGATCCTGTGACTACGCTCCAGCCCAGGGGACAGAGTGAGTCTGTTTCTAAAGAAAAAAAAGAAAGAAAGGCCCCTTCAATTCTACCTCATGACAAATAAATTCTATTACCTCCGGCTCCTGTGTGAGTTGCCTGTGAATATCCAGAACTCCCAGGTACAGGGAACCTCTGTTGGTCTGGAAGCGTCAGCGGCAGAAATTCAGTCTTCCTTTTCCCAATCAGATTCAAGCCAGCTTGAAACGATAGTTTTGAATGTCTCAGAATTGGATACAAGAAGCGTTTCCCCTCAGGTTGTTCAGACAGCCAGGAATGCGTTAGCCTGACTAAGTTGGTTGTTCTGAGGTTTGGTTTCTGTGGTGCCAAAATCTAGAAAAAGGCCCTGAGTGGTGTGTATCTGAAATGAGAAAAGCCTTGTGCTTGAGCCTCAGTGATTGAGTCTCTGCTGCTCTTCAGCGGGGTCCTGTGCCTTCCTGGGCAGGGTCTTGAGCTGCGTTGTTCGGTCCCCCCATCCCTCATCAGGTGATACCCTTCAAGGCCACCCATCTCGCCGTCTTTGGCCTCTTCATCCACGCCGTGCGGCCTGTTCGTCCTAACTGGCCATGGAAACTTCTCCCTCGCATGTCCCCACCACTGCCTGGTCCCGGGGCCACTCGGTGGGATAATTCCCAAGCCCCCTTTCCCAGCCCAGGCCCTCTTCTTGAACTCTGGCCCCTAAATCCAGCTGCTCCTGGATACCTCTAAGTCAGCAAGCCCAGTGTGAGTCTAAGTGAGCTCCATTGTCCCCTCCCTCTCCCCGACAAATGTTCCCACCAAGTCTCTAGCTCCGTGTGGCCTGACATTCTCCTCTTGTCACCCAAGATGGACGTCCAGTTACAGTTTTGGCTCTTTCCCCCACCTCTCACCTCTCCTCCCAATCCCCCTTTTCTAATCCCTCCTCCAAGTCTGATTGGTGCAGTTTCTCAGATTTCAATTTAAATCTCTTGACCCTACCTATTTTTAGGAACGCCTTCCCTCACCAAACATGCATACTCACCCCTGAGCCCTCACTGCCTCCTCCGTGAATTTCTCCAGCAGCGCCTTTGCTGGTCTCGCTTCCTTCTATCTTGGCCCCAGTCCAGCGTATTTTCCACAGTGGGTCCAAAGTGATTCTCAAAGTACAAGTCTGACCATGTTATTCCTCTGTTTAAAACCCATCAGGGCTGGCTGTGGTGGCTCATGCCTGTAGTCCCAGCACTTCGGGAGGCTGAGGCAAGAGGATCACTTGAGCCCAGGAGATCACGGCTGCAGTGAGCCATAATTGCACCATTGCACTCCAGCCTGGGCAACAGAGCGAGACCCCATCTCACACAAAAAAACCAAAAACCCATTAGGGACTTCCCATCACCCATGAAGCTTCATTCAACTCCCTCTTGCATCATCTAATAGAGGGTCCGACCATACGACATCTGGTTTGTCTGAGACAGCCCTGGTATATATAATTTTTCCTGGTGTAAATGTGTCACTCTTAAACACTTCCTGGTTCAGGTGATACACCCTGTGGTCTCTCTACTTATAAGGCCTTCCATGATTGATGTGCCACCCGAGTCACATTCTGCTCCAGCCACACTGGACGGTGGGGGCTATGCCACATCTTCATGTTCACCTCCAGCCTTGACCACGTGGTCCATCTGCATGGAGTCTGACCCATGGTCCCTTCTCCCCAGCTGGCTCCTGGGCACCCTCTAGGCCTCCACTTAAATCCCATCCCATCTGGGAGACCTTCCCGTTTTCTCTTCAGCACTAGATAAGGTGCCCCTTTCTTTTCTTTCTTTCTTTCTTTCTTTTTTTTTTTTTTTGAGACAGAGTCTTGCTCTGTCCCCCAGGCTGGGGTGCAATGGTGCAGTCTCGGCTCACTGCAACTTCTGGCGTCTAGGTTCCAGTGATTCTCCTGCCTCAGCTTCCTGAGTAGCTGAGACTATACACGTGTGCCACCACGCCCAGCTAATTTTTGTATTTTTAGTAGAGACGGGGTTTCACCACGTTGGCCAGGCTTGTCTTGAACTCCTGACCTCGGGTGAACTGCCTGCCTCGGCCTCCCAACGTGCTGGGATTACAGGCGTGAGCCACCGCCCTCAGCCAAGGTGCCCCTTTGCCTACGCCCTCCAGAACCTCTTCTTAGCCCTGTGCACCACTTACTGCCTGGGATCCGAATTGCTTATTTATCCTGTTCCTCATCTAGAGTCTCTTGAGGACAAGGATGAATGTCTTGGGCACAGCTCGCTGAGGTTAGTTGAGTGCCTGCCACATAATCATTGCTTGATACATATTTGTTGAACAAGCGAATATATGGGCGAGACAGAAGTGGGATTCCTCCCAAATAAGAAAATATAATTTATCAGTTGTCCCACTTTATTTAAAATATGATGACAGGCAGACTTTAAATCCTGCCCCAGGAACATTTTTGCATGCACTGGTGGAAGAACTGAGAAAACAGACTAAAAAATTCTCATCCTGCTATTAAATAATTCAGGCTCACTGGAGAACAGCCCATGCCAGGTATATGTCACCTCCAGCATTAGCTAACTTTAGCTGATCTTGGTATTATTTTACAGTTTCCTCTTTAGTGCACCGTTCATGATAAGCTGTTATTTTGAGCATTGCAACAATTCCTCTTTCATGAGATGTCTTTGGGCCATGCAGTATTTAGGCTTGACGTGGAGTCAGCCCTGGTAATGGGAAGCTCATCCTGCAGCTCAAGACTTGCCTGTTTAGGCTGTTGTATTTTTGCTGTGAAGGGATATTTTTTTCCTTTTTCTTTTTGAGATGGAGTTTTTCTCTTGTTGACCAGGCTGGAGTGCAGTGGCATGATCTCGGCTCACTGCAACGTCCACCTCCCAGGTTCAAGTGATTCTCCTGCCTCAGCCTCTGGAATAGCTGGGATTACAGGCATGCGCCACCATGCCCGGCTAATTTTGTGTTTTAAGTAGACACGGGGTTTCTCCATATTGGTCAGGCTGGTCTTGAACTCCCGACCTCAGCTGATTGCCGGCCTCAGCCTCCCAAAGTGCTGGGATTACAGGCGTGAGCCACCATGCCCAGCTGGGAATTTTTTCTTTTTGAGACAGGATCTTACTCTGTCACCCAGCCCAGGCTGGGGTGCAGTGGTGGGATCAGGGCTTCATGCAGCATTGAACTCCTGGGCTCAAGTGTTCCTCCCACCTCAGCTTCCTAAGTAGCTGGGACCCCAGGTGCGTGCCACCACACCCAGCTAATTTTTGTTGTTGTTGTTGAGACAGAGTCGTGCTCTGTCACTCAGGCTGGAGTGCAATGGCGCTATCTTGGCTCACTGCAACCTCCACCTCCGGGGTTCAAGCAATTTTCTAGCCTCTGCCTCTTGAGTAGCTGGGACCACAGGTGCATGCCACCACGCCCAGCTAATTTTTGTAATTTTAGTAGAGACAGGCTGTCACCATGTTGGCCAGGTTGGTCTTGATCTCCTGACTTCAAGTGATCCGCCTGCCTCGGCCTCCCAGAGTGCTGGGATTACAGGCCTGAGCCACTGTGCCCAGCCTTAATTTTCTGTTTTTAAAGAAATGAGGTCTCCCTATATTGCCCAGACTGGTCTCGAACTCCTGGGCTCAAGCGATCCTCCTGCCTTGGCCTCCCAAAGTCCTGGCATGCTGTAGATGTTTCTCAGGACAACTGGGCATCACTGGCATTTCAGATGGAGCCCCGGCAGGAAAGGGAACAAATTTTAGATGGTGAAGATGAAGATACTTTGATGGAGGGACTGATTCCAGAGGGTGGGTAGGGTTAGGGACCCAAAGACCAGTTCACCCCTAGGCAAAAGGGGCCAGGGGAGGACCTCGGAGAGTCCTGGAGCCATGGCAGGTGGCTGCCCAGAGGGAAGTGGGGTGCGGGGACAGCAGAGTCCCAAAGCATGGAGAGGCTGGGGAAGAATCCGCCGATCTCTCTCCTTTTGCCCTCTGCTCTCCTGACAGTGTCTCCCATCAGCCGGCCCCCAAGCTGGAGGACAAGTGGCCTGGGTGACACCGTCTGCCAGTCTTGGCCTCCCCGGACAGGGAGAAGGTGGGGGACAGGTCTGGGAGGGCAGAGAATAACCAGCGCCCCAGCCTGGCCTTCCACTGGCCATCTTGGAACTTGGAACTTGGTTCTCCTTCATTTGGTTTCAAGCATTTATTTCTGGAGGAATTTCATGGGGCTGGAGATACTTTCCTGGCTTCACTGAACTTACTGTTTTTTTTTTTTTTTTTTTTTTTTTGAGACGGAGTCTTGCTCTTTTGCCCAGGCTGGAGTGCAGTGGCATGACCTTGGCTCACCGCAACCTTTTCCTCCCGGGTTCAAGCGATTCTCCTGCCTCAGCCTCCTGAGTAGCGGGGATTACAGGTGCATGCCACCATGCCTGGCTGATTTTTCCATTTTTAGTAGAGACGGGGTTTCACCATGTTAGCCAGGATGGTCTCGATCTCCTGACCTTGTGATCCTCCCACCTTGGCCTGCCAAAGTGCTGGGATTACAGGTATGAGCCACTGTGCCCAGCCGCTCTTTATTTTTAAATTAATTAATTATTATACTTTAAGTTCTGGGATACATGTGCAGAATGTGCAGGTTTGTTACATAGGTATTCACATGCCATGGTGGTTTGCTGCACCCATCAATCAACCCGTCATCTGCATTAGGTATATCTCCTAATGCTATCCCTCCCCTATCCCGCCATCCCCTGACAGGCCCAGGTGTGTGATGTTCCCCTCCCTGTGTCCATGTGTTCTCATTTGAACTTACCCTTTCTTACAGGAAAGAGTTGGGTTGTGTCCATCCTGCCTAGAATCCCTGCTGGCTTTTCTGAGCCCTCTTACCTGGGCTTTTTGTGAATTAGGTGGGGAGCTTTTAGGCCCTTGAATATAGATAGCTTGTTAAAGACTGTCTATTCTTTCTCACCAAAATTTCTTTTCTTTCTCCACGTTCGACATTCTATCTCATGGTATTCCTCAAGGTGCCCGTTTCTCTCTCTCTCTGCTAATACCACCTTGGTCTGAGACACCACCTTCTCTTTTCTGGGTGGATCTGATAGCTTTCCCGTGGGGTTCTGCCTTTCATCCCGTTCCTCTTCAACTTCGCCTCCCCACTGAGCCAGGGCAGCCCCGGGAAGAGGCCAGCGGGATCTGGGCACTGTCCCATGTCAGGCTTCTGCTGGCTCCCACTGCCCTTAGAACACAACCCAGCTTCCTTACTGTTAGGAGCCGAAAGCTTGTGTCCCCACGAAATTTCTCTGTTGAAATTCTCACTCCCAATGCGACGGTGTTAGGAAGTGGGGCCTTTGGGAGGTGATTAGGTCATAAAGGGGGAGCCCTCCTGAATGAGATTAATGTCCTTATCAAAGAGACCCCATAGAGCTGCCTCGCCACTGTGTCAGGATACAGCAAGAAGGTGGCTGTCCATACCCAGAAGAGGGCGCTCACCAGAACCCAACCCTGCTAGCACCGTGATCTTGGACCTCCAGCCTCCAACCGTGGGAAGTCAATGTGTGGTTTATGAGCCACCAGGTTTATGGTACTTTGCTGTAGCAGCCCGAATGCAGGATGACACTCACTTTGGCCAGGAATGGGGGTATGGTGTGGCCTCTGCCCACCCACTGCCATCTCCCACATTGTGCCTCCCTCATCGCCCACCCCTGCCACTCTGGCTTGCCTTGAGTTCCCCAGCCCCCAAGCCCTCTCTGGTCTCAGGGCCTCACACACGTGCTTTCCTCTTTGCTGACCCCTTCTCCCCCACTCTTCTTTCTCATTCTCCAGCCTGCAGTGTGAATGCCACCTCCTCCAGGCAGTCTCCCCTGACCACCAAATGTCCCATGCTCTCTTCCCCTTCCCCATTCTCTCTCTCTTTTTTTCTTCCTGAGACAGAGTCTCGCTTTGTCACCCAGGCTGGAGTGCAGTGGTGTGATCTCGGCTCATTGCAACCTCTGCCTCCAAGGCTCAAGCAATTCTCCTGCCTCAGCCTCCTGAGTAGCTGGGATTATAGGTGCGCGCTATCGTGCCTGGCTAATTTTTGTATTTTTAGTAGAGATGGGGTTTTACCATATTGGCCAGGCTGGTCTCGAACTCCTGACCTCAGGTGATCCACTCACCTCAGCCTCCCAAAGTGCTGGGATTACAGGCGTGAGCCACCATGCCTGGCCCCCATTCTCTCTTATAACATCCTGTGACCCTGCACGACCTCTTCAGTCATCCACCTCACTGTGCCCAGCCCTTAGCACATGGGCTGACAAACATTGGCACTAAGTTCAGGTTCGAGGTGGGTGTGACTGAGACCACCGGGTGCCTGTGGGAGATGGGCCCAGGGAAGTTGCTGTGTGCAGCTGCACTCCACGCAAGGTTTCACCTCTGGTGAATCCCTCCACCGAGGATGCGTGAATGTTTGCATTAATGTACTTGGTTAGCATCCTTTGGACACATGGGCTGGGTAACTGCAGTTCTTAGAACAACACTGCCCCAGCACTGCCCCTCCCCACCCCGGGGAGTCACTCTCACTTTGTCTCCCACATTCTCTCCTGCTTGCTTGCTTCTCTCACTGTTTTCCAGCCTTCTGATTTCCTCTGCTTCATGTTCTTTGTCATACATAATGACAAAAACACTTACATCCCCCACTGCCTTGCTGTTCTCTCTTGGATGGAAGTCAGTAGCTGGTATAATCCTAGAAAACCCCTGTTCCAATCCTGCTCGTTTGGGATTTGTGAGCATTTGGATGGGACCAAGCCCCTGTTGACCTTTGCATGCTCCGTGAAAAGACGGATTGCTCAGCAAAGCGCTGTGGTCAATAATTCCCAAATGAACACGATCCGCTCTCCCGGAGAGCACAGCCCCACAAGGCACTGACCAGCCCTGCTGGTAGGTGGGCTTGCACGGAACAGGTCTGTGGGTCCTTTGGCCTCCTGTAGCTGTGAGTTTTTATATCTGATGAACTTGAAGGGGATCAGTGTGCTTCAGAACATCTAGAGCTTTCACTAAATCAGATTAGTTTTTATCCCAAGTCATTTGAATTAATTACACGACTTTTTCCTTGTCCTGTCTGTGGGTCACACACCAGAGTCTGAGAACGAGGCAGTACATTGCTGATTTTGCAAACACACTGAGACCAGACAGCTGCCCAGGCTGTGAACGACCACACGCTTCCTTAGGGCAGAGCTGGAGATAGAATCCACGTGCCGAGTATTGGATATGTCTCCATTGCAGCTCTCTGGGGCTTTTCAGGCTTGGAGCTTTGGTGCATACATGTGATGATGATGATGATGATGATGATGATTTTTTAAGATGGGGTCTTGCTGTGTGGCCCCGGCTGGAGTGCAGTGGTGCAATCTCAGCTCACTGCAACCTCTGCCTCCTGTGTTTAACCGATTCTCCTGCTTCACCCTCTTAAGTAGCTGGATTACAGGTGTGCACCACCACGCCAGGCTAATTTTTGTATTTTTAGTAGAGACGGGATTTCGCCATGCTGGCCAGGCTGGTTTCAAACTCCTGACCTCAAGTGATCCGCCCGCTTTGGCCTCCCAAAGTGCTGGGGTTATAGGCGTGAACCATATGCCCAGCTGATACATGTGATTATTTTTAAATGCTATTGTTTTTATTTTTTATAATAAATTAGGAGATGAGCCTCATTTTCTTATTTTTTAAAAAATTATGCTTTCTCCACCTTGTTCTTACTGCCTTATTCTTGTAGTAGAGAAAGGAAGAAAAATTAAAACAATAAACCAAAATGTGAAAGGCAGTTTTGTCGGGAAGTTATCAAACACACATCTCACCTCCACTGCTGCCCCTTGGAAGCCTGGGGCTGTTTTTTGCAGCTGCACTGTAATCCCTGGTTATTGAGGGCACAGGTGGAAACGGAGATCAGCTCATGGCTTAGAAAGGAGCCGGGTGCACAGGTGGGTCTGGGTGAGCTGGAGGCTGTGATCACTCAGTGTCTGAGGAGAGAGACTGGGTGGGTCGGGGAGAGAGGCCGATTCTCAGACTCCAAGAGAGTCAGTTATGTGCACTCCCGAGAGGTAGATGCAATCCCCTCACTTTCCCGAGGAATAACTCATTCAAAAGATGCACTAATCCTCAGGGGAATCCAGGGAGATCCTTCAGAGCGCCTGCCTATCGTGGAGCACCTGAGGAACCCAGGGTGGGAGGAGCGTGCTCTGTTACTCCAGGGCCAGAGCTGGGGGCGTCCGTTCCCTGCTTTAATAAAGCCTCTGATCTCACCCGCATGACCCGGTCTGACTTTTCTCCTCTTCTTTTCTACTTCCCTGAAGGGATTACTGGGAAAACTAGAAGTGACAGCTATTATCCAGCTTTTCTATATTACATTTTAAGATTTACAACCTTCTCACATCCGCAGAGGATTTGAGGATGTTCTTGGCAACCTCTGATGATTCCTGACTCTTCTCCTGGCGTCACAGTTCCTCCAGCTGTGTTTCCCTTTTGGCCATGCGGCAGGGTCTGGAGAGACCTGTCATCCCTGGGGAGAGGCAATCAAGAAGGCCGACCATGTCTCCTTGAGCAGAGGTCACTGTGGCCAGTCTTTGGCTCAGGTATTCTACCTTTGGAAGAGGGGTTTTGGATACATCAGAGGAGCAGTGATTTCCAGATTCCAAGGGCTGTCTGGAGACACTGGGCCGCGTTTCTCTGAGAGCCTGGGAGCTCTAATTTGCCTTTGGAGATGGTGATAGGGAGAGTGGGAATCATATGACCCACAGAGGTGGATTGAAACTTGCCCGTGGTGGTGGGGAGACAGCCCCAAAGAGTTTTTCCTCAGCCCCATGAGGCTGTGATTCTCAAGTTTTCTCCTATCACCCTTACCTTCGTTTGCAGGAAACTTAGTCCAAGGTTTATTTGTCTGTTGTCTTTGTGTGTGTGTTTCTGGCAGATCCAGCTGGGGCCTGGTTTGAAGACTTTTGCTTTCCCACCAAAGTGGGAATGAATAAACAAATGAATGAGTGAGTACACGAATAAATGAATGAATTAATAAATAAATCAATGAATGAGCGAATGGATGAGTTAATGTGTGAATGAATGGGCAAGTGAACAAATGAATGAGTGAATGGATGAGTTAATGTGTGAATGAATGGGCAAATGAACAAATGAATGAGTTGAATAAATGAATGAATGAGTGAATAGATGAGTTAATGTGTGAATGAATGGGCAAATGAACAAATGAGTGAGTTGAATAAATGAATGGGTGAGTTGAATAATGAATGAATGAGTGAACGAATGAATGGTGTCAGGGTGCCAGCGCTTGCCTTGCTTGCACCCTGAAGATTCCCCATTGTCCACCCTTACCGTGTCCTTGTCACTGGTGTTCTGCCCTCATTGGGCTGGTCTGTGCTGGACACTCTCGAAGGCCAGATTCCACCCACCTGCTCCCAAGATGGTGCCGTCTCGGCAATGGGAGCTGCTGCACAGCACAGGATGACCCTTTGGGAGAGTCATGTACAAGGTCCCCGGGATTAGAGTAAATGCCAGTGCTATGCAGGGATTTCACTGTCCCTGAGCCAGCTCACACGGATCATGGAAAAGAACCACAGACTGTGCCCAGATGTGTTCCGGGCATGGGAGCAGGTGGGGCGTGAATTACATAAGATCCAGGGAAAGACCCATAAAGCACACACCAGGTGCTCGGTCAGGTTTCCTCTCACAGCCTCAGAATTGCTCTCTTTATGCTGTTCTCCTTTTAGAGATTAGAGGAGCTTGGAGATCCCCCATCTCCCTGCTGAAAACCTTTCCCAGTCCAGCTGCTTTTTTGCCTACCACGTTTGTGGAGCTTTGCTGATCATTCTCATCCTACCAGCTGCCCTCCCTCCTGCAGACCCCAGGACTTAATTACCAATGCCTGATATCTTTCCCTCTGCTCTCATTTCCTGCTCCAGGTACAGCGTAATTTTTTTCTCAGGTGGAAGGGTTTGATTTTTTTTTTTAATATTTGTTTATTCAAAACAAACAGTCTAGGCTTCCTTAGAGTCTTCTCCCTTAATTTTGCTTGGTTATTTAGTCAACAAAAGAAGCATAAAACTGGGTCGAGGAAAGCGGAATCTGGTGGTCAGAATGCATCGAGTTTTGGAGTGGTTTCTCAGGATTTGCCTCATGTAAGGGGTCTGGAGCCTGTGATTGGCATCTCCCCAGTCAATGCCTTGCGTCCAGAAAGCTGGCATGCGGTTTATATTTGCTGAATGGAAAACCATAGAAAAGAAAAAACAAACTCGTGGATTCAGAGCATTTTTGCAGTAACATTGAGGAACCTGCCAGATAGCCACGTGCTTGGGCCCCTGCCCCTGGGCATCACTCAGCTCTGCATCTTCTAGGGGCTGCAGTTTGCCAAACCCTCACTTTGTAAAGGGTTATGTTAAGAGTCCTAACATACACAGACTTCCTGTCGTTGGGTGGGGATTTCAGGTCCCCCAGTGCATCCTTCTGTCTGGATTTAGTTGCATCTACAAGTCCCTCCTCTGAAGTGGTACTGGCCCTTGTGAATTTTATTATGATTATTGTGGGGAAAGGGTCTTGCTCTATTACCCAGGCTGGAATGCGGTGGTGTGATCATACCTCACTGCAGCCTTGAACTCCTGGGCTCAAGTGATCCTCCTGCCTCAGTCTCCTGAGTTGCTGGGACTGCAGGAGCAATCCCTCATACCTGGCTAAGAGCTCTCTTCCTTTTCTATTGCTTTCTTACCTTGAGTAACTAGTCCTAAGATTTTTCTCTTCCAAATTAAAAAAATAAGTCTGTTGTTATATTTCTAATTGTGA